>NC_000013.11:87465100-87768130 GCF_000001405.40 Homo sapiens
GTATATGTACGTATGTATGTATATGTGTGTGTGTGTGTATAAATCTCAAAATGCCTTATTGTATGTGATAAATATATAAAATTTTTGAGAATTTTAAAATAATTAAATACACACATATAAAAAGGATGAAAACAAAAAATCACGTATATTTTATTAGAAAGGAGAGCATAAAATAAGTAGATATACCTTGATTATAAGATTTTAATTATTAAATTTCTCTAGTATTAGCACAAAGATTGACATATCAAGTAATAGAGCAGTGGAGAACCAGACTCAGTCTTTCTATATGACAAGTTAAAGATTGGTCAATTACACAAATAGCACTAATAAAAGTCAATAATATGGATCAAAATATATCACAATCTTAAGCAATACATAAAAAATTAATTCAAGATGAATTAAAGACATACTTGAAAAGAAAATCTGTATACATTTTTAGAGTAGTAGGGTGTTATGTTTATGCTTTGAAGATTATAAAAAATGTATTTAAAATCAACACAAATCAAGAAATAAATGATAAATTAGAATACATCAACATTTAAAATTTTTGCTCCCAAAAAGATGTCCTAATCTGCAAGAAAGTATTTAACACATAGACTAGATTATTAGTCATAAAATTCAGAAAAATACACAAATCAAAGAAAAATAAAAAAATTCCACATTTGTTTATACATTTAAGAGAATAATCTCACCCAAAACAAGAATAAATCCCTATTTCCAAAAAGAAAATTTGGGAAAACAGCCTAATATTTAAACATTTTTGTAAATAAATATTGTAAAATAGTAATCCACAATGAAACTGAATAAACTGAAGCTACATATAACAAAAGTATCAATCAATGTTCAACTAAATCAATATTGAATTGAAAAAGCCGGTGGAAGAAGACACACAGATGAAATGTGTAGAAAGTAAAAAGTGTAAAGCATGCTTAGGCAAGAGATATAAATTTTTTAAAGTTACAGGAATGATTTAAAGAAAATCCAGGATAGTGGTTACATTAGAGGTGGAGAGGGATGTTATCAGTTAAGGTAAACAAGAACTTCAAATGCACATATTTAGTGTAATACTAAAATGTGGATATCAGTGCATTAATATTTAATGCATTATTCTTTTTGAATATTTAAAATATTGCATGATAAATTTTAGCTGGACTAATACTTTATATCTTCTTAGGTTATTCTGAGAATTAGTGGTTATATAAGTAGGCATAAAGCATGGTATATGGTACAATCAAAATATTTTTATTGTTATTGAAATTATGATGTTTACAGTTGTTTAGGAAGACTTCCTAGTGAATGGACTCTTATGATAGCCCATTTCAAAACCCGTGTATGACAAATTATATTTAAATATTTAAATATAATTTAAAAACACTTTTCTCATCAATATACAATTTCATTGCAATTTCAGATTATAGTAATAAACTTATTTAAATAATGATGTTAATATTACATTTAAGAAAACCTGTGTTTCTATTTGCTTTAAAGATTATTATTTGAATTTGATTTCAATTTAATTTTCAATCCTTAAAGTTGATAATATGTAGACTTTATTGATCTCTTTATTATGTTCTGCTTTCAAGTTAGAAGGTGAAAAACAATAGAAAAAATGTAATTAATGAAAGGATTTATGTGAAAGAAAAACTATGAAGAGCTAAAATACAATATAAATATGATTATAGTGAAGGAAGAATGTCATTATATTAAATAGACAGTACAATTTGTTTTTTTTCTTTTGTGGGTTTCTTGTACATGTGCCTTAATGTTTCATATGTTTCCTGTAAAAAGGAATCAGTGGAGAAAACATCACATAATTAGGATTTATAACCTATGGAACTAAAGACATTCAAACTATAGTTATAGTCTTCCATTATGGTTCCACAAACCAAAATCAAGGCAGAACCAAAGAACTCTTCTGTGTAATGACCAAGTGAAGGGATATACGTAGACAAGACAAGGCCATTTCAGAAAATAAATAAATAAATAAATAACAGTAAAATAGAAGCAATCTATCAAAATAATTTTTATGTACTGAACATTGGCTTGGAAACAACATGGACAATCAAGTTCATAGACAGACAATAATGTGCCAAAATTATTAAAACTCAGATAAATTGAACATCTTCTGGCCCCTTTAGGAAACTTCCAGTTTCAGCTCAGACATGAAAAGAGCTGGGAGGTCATCGCTTACATCCTTACAATAAACAAAGACTGGACAAAAATAAAATCAACAAATTTTCTTGGACATATCAGATAATTGACTTGGAAAAGCAAATTGAGGTGGAAAAGAAAATCACTACCCCAATATCTAGAGAGACAGACTGATCCAGGTAATTACAGCCAACTTTTATTTACCTGGGGTAGAAACCACTGCAAAGAAAAACTGTTAGGACATATTATATAAAAGTCCTAACATATATATTGTATCCTTTCTCATATTATTTAATAAAGTGTGAGCATTACAAAACAACAACAAACAATAGCAAAAACTGGAATGTACACTTAAATAGTAACTATGACAAATTGCTGAAAGATGATTGTGAACTGGGTGAGAGTGAGAAAATAATTGAGGGAATATTTTTAGTGGTCCAATACATTTTTATGGGCTTTACATCCAGAATTCCTAGGAGATTCTCACAGTAACCGTTTGAGAAAGATCTCATGGCTCTGATAGGGGACAATGAATAATCTCTGTGACATACTACCAGAGTTATCTGCAAAACAAGGCCTTCTCTTCAGAGAGAAAGACTGTATGAGCTTTGTCCCAGTCATTGATAAGATGCAAGAAAATGGGCAATGTTAGCAAAAGGATTTTAAACAAATCTAAGAAAGGATCAAAAGAAAGTCTAGAAATTCAAAAATAATGTAATCTACATATAGAATACGTTTTTGGACTCAATAGACTAGACATGACTATGAAAAGAATCACTGAATTTGAGTATAGGCCAAAAGAAACTTCCCAAAATAAAGTGCGAAGAAAAAGAATGAATGAAAAGAAGAGGAATAAAATATCCAAGAACTATGGGAAAATGTCAAAATGTATATATTCAAATGAAATAAAATCAGTATGTAGAAGAGATTTCTGCACTCCCATGTTTATTTCAGTTGTACTTAAGTAGCCAAGACATGTAAAATAGTGTCCACCAACAAATGAATGGATAAAGGAAAAATGGTATATATACACAATGGATACTATTCAGCCTTTAATAAGATGGAAACACTGTCCTTTGCAATAACATGAACAAACCAGAAAGACATTATGTTAAGCAAAAAACGCCAAGCGCATAAAGACCAACACTGCATGTTCTTACTTATATATGGGAGTTTAAGAAGTTGATCTCATAGAAGTAGGAAATAGAATAGTGGTTAGGAGGCTGGAGAGGGGAGGGGAGATGATAGATGAGGAGAGATTGGTCAAGACGTACAAAGTTACAGTTAAATATGAGGAATATGTTTTGGTGTTTATTGGACAGTAAGATGACTATAATTAACAACAATGTATCATATATTTCAAAACAGAAGAGAGGATTCACAGTGTTCTCACCACAAAGAAAGTTTGAAGTACTTAATTTTCTATTTACCTTCATTTGATTAATACACAATATAAACATATATTAAAACCTCACATTGTAACCATAACAATGCACAATTCTACGTGTCAATCAAAACTGAAACAAACCTTTTAAAAGTGTATAATGTCAAATTTGAACACCAGAATGAGAAGACAGAACAAAGCAGAAAAAAAATACATAAAATGCTAATAGGTGAAAACTCCTTTTCAAAATTGATGACAGACACCAAACCACAGTTCCAGGAAGCACAGAGAAATTAAAGCAGAATATGTATCAAAAAATACTATTCCTATACATAGCATATTCAAACTTCAGAAAAAAAAGACACAAATAAAATTTTGAAAGATACTGGCACAAGATGAAAATACTTTAGTTTTAAAGGGATAAAGATAAGCTTTAGTGCTGATGTTTTGTCAGAAACAATACAAGCCAGCAGAAAGTTGAGCAAACATGTAAAGTTGAAAGAAAGAAAAAAGAGAAAAATAGAGAAAGCAAAAAGAAAAATAGAATTCAAAATTCTATGTCCAGCTAAACTAACTTTCAAAAGTGAAGGAGAAATAAATGATTTCTTAAACAAGCAAACACAGAAGGAATTGTTTTCCAGCAAACTTGATTTGTAAAATATGTCCATAGACATGAGGCATGAGGAAATGATGTAAGTCAGAAAAAAAATTTACATGAAGAAAAAAATATCAGAGAAGAAATAAATGAAGATGAAGGAAATATTTTTCTTATTGTTATTGATCTTAATAACTTTTTAAAAGTATTAATATTAAGCTGAAATGTGTTGTGTGATTATCCATGTGATTATAGCACATGGATAAAAAAATGGATGAGTGCTATAACATGGGAGACAGGAGGAAGGAACTTGGAACTCTCCATCATAAGACACATAAATTACACACAAAGACAAGTAGTGTTACTTAAGAGTTGAGTTAGATTCATTAAAAATATTTTAAACACTAGCACAAACCAACATATATATTTTTTAAACTGTGTAGCTGATATACTAAAGGAAAAAGTAAAATGAAGCTATACAAAACACCCAAATGAAATCAAAGAATGCATAAATATATGCCTCTGAAAAGGTATAGAAAGTGTAATAAACTTGACTGTCATTAATCTAACTACATAATTTATAACTTTAAATGTGAACAGTCTAAATGCAGCAACTAGAGCTTATTATAATGAATAAAAAATTATCTAATAATATGTAAATTTGTAAAAGTACTTTTTAATATGAAGGGTCAGATAGTCTTGAAATAAAGAAATGAAGAAACATTTACCATACTAAAACTGATCAAAGGAAAGCTGGAGTCACTACATTAATTTTGAAATAGCAGACTTTAGAGCAAGAAGAATTATTGGAGATAAACAGAGGTGCAACATAATAATAAAAGTGTCAATTCTCCAAGAAGATATAATTCTAAATGTGTATACACCTAGCTACAGTGGTAAAATACACAACAAATAATTAAGAGAAGTTAAGACATAAGTAAACAAATCCACTATTATAGTTGTAGCTTTCAAAATAGCTGTTAAGAAGGATGAAATTGACATAAATGGCATTATAAGTCCATCTTATGTATATGATATTTATGGAAACTTCCATCCAACAAAAAAATAAATACACATTTTGCTCAAACTCACATAAAACACCCACCAAATTAGACCACATTCTGGGCCATAAATTTTATTTTACAAATTAAAAGAATAAAAATCATTCAAAATGTGTTATTAAACCACAGTGGTATTAAATTGTAAATCAATAAGAGAAGTATAGGTGGAAGACCCACATATATTTGTAGATTAATCAACTCGATTATAAGTAACAAATGGGCAAAAAATATTTTTAATTAAAACTATTTTGAAGTGAATGTAAATAAAAAATACAACTCATTAAAGTTTGTGTGATGCAACAAAAATCAATGTTTAGTAGGCAGTGTGTCATATTAACTCCATAATTACAAAATTAAAAACCTGTAAAACTTGGCAATCTAAATTAGGACACTAAAAGTAGCAATTTAAAATGCAAACAAGAAGAAGTAAAAAAAAAAAAAAAGTAAAGCAGAAATCAATGAAATTAATAATTGAAAAATAATAAAATCAACACAACCAAAAGCTGGTTTATTGAAATGATCAATAGCATCAATCAACCAGTAGTCAGACTAAGACAAAAAAAGATAACACAATATTTACTAATATCAGAAAAAAAGAGATACTATAGCTACTGTTCCCATGGACATTAAAATAGTCCATCTCATCCACTAAACAAGCACATAAGTAAACCACCACAAAAGCTAGCCCTGGCGAAGGAGTGATAGTAAGCATCCATAATGTCTAGAATATATTACTTATAATGTCAAGTTTTAAGCAAATATTATAAGCTTTGTAAGTAAACAGCAATACCACATAAACAGGAAAAAAATTAGAAGTTACTCCTGTTAAAGCCAACATATGAAACTTAATAGACAAAGACATTAATGGACTTTAAAAATATTTGTAAAAACTAGAAGAATTCATGCTTACAGAAGTACAATGACAATGTCAGAGTATTAAGAAAGATATAAACTACTTTTTAAAAATCAAATTGAAATCTGGAAATGAAAACATAAAATCCAAGTTAAAAATTTACTAGAGTGTCTTAAGAGAAGATTTGAGCTGGTAAAAAAAAAATAAAAAATAATAAAACTTAAAGATATATAGAAATTATGCAATAAAAATCAGGAAAAATGAGCGAATTAAGATTCATTAATTAACAAAAATAAACAGAGCTCAGGGAAATGTAGGACAACATTAAGCAAACTAGTGTACTAGTGTGAGTACCTCAAAGAGAAACTAACAAAAGAAAATAAAATTTTCAAATGACAGAAATCATTTGAAATTTGATGAAAAGAAATCTATACACTCAGGAAGCTCCAGAAACTCTAAGCAGGATAAATCCAAGGATACCCACACAGACATATTATAAAAGTTTATTAAAAGACAAAGAGGTCTATCTTTAAGGGAGTAGGAAAAAACAAATGACTTGTTACCTCTGAGGGGATTCCACTAACAGTTGACAACTCATAAAAAAATAAAAAATAAAGAGGCCAGAATGCCAAGAGGCTATGAAATAATAAATAATGACAACCAAGAATTGTTTTCCAGCAAATGTATCTTTTAAAACAAATGGTAAAATCATTACCCAAATAAAACTGAGCAAATGTGTTATTTGGAAAATTGGCTTTACAATATGTAACAGGAAGTTATTCAGGCTGAAAGCAAGTAACCTTGTATGATAATCTAAATCTAAAAACAAAAAAAAAAGAGAACTGATTAAAGTATTTATGTAATTATAAAATACTATATATATATATATTTCCTGTCCTTTATCTTAATAAGTGATTTTAAAAGTAAGTATATAAAATAATATGAATGAAATTGCATCATTGGACTTACAGCATTTAAAAATATATCAGATAATAGAATAAAAGAGGTGGGTAGGAGAAAACCTAAATGGGATGTAACAAAATTGTACTAAACTGTAACTTGAATCAACAGCATCAACTTAAATCTACAGAAGCTAATGAATAGAATCAGAAATGATAAAGTGGTTAATACGAAAATTTTAAAGTATATATTTACTCTTTTTTATTCAGCTTCTTTAAAAGATAAATGCATGTATAGCAATAATAATAAAAATGCAGGTTTGGGTTCTTTACATATATAAATGTAATATATAAAACAATAATAGCACAAAAATGGAAGAAGATATAGAACTATATTGAAATAACCTTTCTATATCTCATGATGATTAAGTTAGTATTAATATAAAGTAGATTCTGTTAAGCTGTAAATCATAAACCCTAGAGAAATCACTAAGAAAATCATTTTTTTAAAATAGAGTAAGGTATTAAATAAATTAAACAAAATGTATGCTCAATGCAAAAGAAAGCAGTAAAAAAAAGATAACAACATGAGACATACAAGAAACAGCAAAATTGCATACATCAGTATCCCAAATCTTATCAGTAATGATATTAAATGTGAACGAATTAAAAATCCAACCAAAAGGCAGAAATTGTCAAATTAAATTTTTAAAAAGTTCCAACTATATGTTTTCGATACAAAACTCAATTTAGATTTAAACATACAAAAAATCAAAAGTAAAATAATGGAATATAGTATTTCATGTTGGCAACACAAGAAATCTGGAGGCTACACCAATATCAAATAAAGTAACACCAAAACAGTTACCAAAAGAAAAAGAGGGATGTTTGATAATCATATAATAATCAACTCATTAGAAACAGATTACAATTATGAATATATATGTACCTAAAAAGCGATAACACTACACTAAGCAAAACTGACAGAACTGAGGGGAGAAAAGACATTTCCACAATAACTGGAGACTTCAATGTCCTTCTTTTAATAATGGTTAGAGCAACTATGAAGAAGATTAACAAGGCAGTAGTAAAGTTAACAATCAACAAGACCTAATAAATATGCATTGGACACTTGACCCAACAACAACAGAGTACACATTCTTCCCAAGTGCTCATGGTACATTTTCCAGAATAGATCAAATGCCAAGCCTTAAACAGAATGAATAAATGCAAAGCAGTAGAGATCAATCAGGAATGTACTCCAAACAAAATGGAATAAAATCAGAATCATCAATAAAAAGGGCCCTTGGAAATTCACAAATATATTCAAATTAAACAAACACACTTCTAAATAACCTGTGGGTCAAAAATATAACACAAAATTCTAAGTGCCTACCTGTGTTCAAACAAGGAGATTCTTGTGGATTTAGGGAGGCATCTTTTGGCAAGGTCAATTCCAATGACATGTTAATGCATCGATTTTAGAGCCGAGTTGTCCTCTTGCAATCTCCTGTATTAGGATTAGGGAGGCATATTTAGAGATAGGATGACCTCAGCAAAATGGAATGGCCAGATTTAACTATCATCTCTCCACAAAAACACTGAAAAATAAGTATAACCAGTCAGATGCAACTTCATTAGAATTTTAAAAAATAGTTCCAGATTTACAGCAAGAAATGAAGCAACAAAGCAACAAAGCAAATGCTGACTCAAGAAAAACATAGCTGATATAAGAAATAAAAATACTTGTGATATTTTTGCTTTCCCTTGCTCCACCCCCTTCACAGCATGGTAACAGTCTTGAAGGTAGCTTATGCTCCCAACGTAGGACCTTGGTTCCTGGGACTGAAAAGAGTAGAACAAACTTCATTTGCAAATTATTGTGCATGCCTGCTATAAACTCTTTGAGGACTCCTTGAAGGATTGAGATAAGGTGCTCATCAATCTTTCACTTAATTCAGAACTCAGGCTGGAAAAAGAATGAGCATCATTCAAAAAAACCACAAGATGGGCCAGGCACGGTGGCTCACTCCTGTAATCCCAGCACTTTGGGAGGCCGAGGTGGGCGGATCACCTGAGGTCAGGAGTTCGAGACCAGTCTGACCAACATGGAGAAACCGTGTCTCTACTAAAAACACAAAATTAGCCAGGTGTGGTGGTGCATGCCTGTAATCCCAGCTACTTGGGAGGCTGAGGCAGGAGAACCACATGAACCCGGGAGGCGGGGTTATGGTGAGCCAAGATCGCACCATTGCAATCCAGCCTGGGCAACAAGAGCGAAACTCCATCTCAAACAAACAGACAAAAACCCACAAGATGATCTAAGGAATCAAAAATGCGTGGGACAAAATATTATGTTCTAGACATGTAATAAACTACTAAGGCTGAGGAGGAATAGCTAGGGGAGAGTTTCTTTGAAAAATTAAGACATTCAAAAATATCTATGCATACAAGGGAATTAAGAAAGCCACATATATGTCCAGAGCAAGACACATGCTCAACAAGACCCAGAGCTTTTATCTCAGGCTAATAAATAGACTTAATACAAGTCTGGCTAAATGTCTGTGTCTATGGCACAGAGCTAATCTCAAATATTGGGAGAGGCATTTTTTGTTTGCTTGCTTGTTTGTTTTAGACCCTGGTAATAAAAACAAAAAAATGCCAGTACAATAGCTGAACACAAGCTAAAGAACAGACATGTCAGTTATCACACGAGAAATGGAATAGTCTGCAAAAATAGGTTAGAAAGTAATTAGACAGATTTCTACTAGTCTCAACCAGAAAATAACAAACTTTGAGGAAAGGAGAGAATCTCCAAGTTACCACACAGTAATATCCAAATATCCAGGTTTCTACAAAAATCACAAGGCTGACAAATAGGAAAGTATGGCCCATGTAACAGAACAAAATAAATTGACAGAAACTGTCCCTGAGGAAGTCCGGACATTGGATTTACTAGAAAAGATTTTAAATATACAGTTATATGTTACTAACCAATGGCAATATGTCCTAAGAAATGCATTACTGGACAATTTTGTCAATATGCAAACATCAGATTGTATTCAGGCAAAGCTAGATGGTATAGCGTACTATATATCTAGACTATATGGTGTAGCCGATTGCTCCTAGGCTAGAAACCTGTACCGAATGTTACTGTACTAAATATTGTAGGCAACTGTAACACAGTGATAAGTATTATGTATCTAAACATGTATAAACATAGAAAAGTACAGTAAAAATACAATATTATAATCCTATGGGAGGACAATCATAAAAGTGGTTGGTCCCCCACTGACTGAAATATCATTACGTGGTACATAACTGTCCTCACAGAAAAACATAAAAGTAAAAACATAAAGAACTAAAAGAAATCATGAAAATAATGCACAAACAAAATAGAATGAAAGAAAGAAAGAAATTCCAAAAAGAACTAAATATAAATTCTGGAGCTAAAATTATAATAGACATTTTAAAAGACAGAAGATTTGAGCAAGCAGAAAATATAGTTTGAGAACTATAAATACTTGAAATTATCAAAATGTGTAATTAAATATAAAAGCCAGTATTATTGTATTTTTTATTTATAACTGTTTAATTTCTAGCAGAAACAATATCAAAATAACTATATCAAAATCATTATAATTCTGAGCATAAAATGTAGAAATGTGTAACTTATAAGAGAAACAACATAAAATGGAGTGAAGTTACATAGGAGTAGGGTATTTGCATGCTGGGGATGTTAACTTTAATTCAAAGTACATTGTGATAAATATAGGATTTTGAATATTATACCTATAATAAGCACAGAGAAAATATCCACAAAATAATACACAGAAAATAAAAGGGAATTAAGTAGCGCCCTATTTTTCAAACTCAACTAAAAGCAAACAGAAAAGGTAATAATAGAGAAAATGAGAGCAAAAAAATATAGTTGTGTAGAAAAAAACAGCAAAATGGCAGAAGCCCTTTTTAAATCAATGATTACTTGAAATATAAATGTATCAAACTCTTCAATCAAAGGCAAAATAGAGTGAATTCTAAAAACAACACAATTTCAAGAGACTCGCATTAGATCTAAAGACTCAGATTGAAAGTTAAAGGATAGAAAAAGATATTCCATACCAGTATCAACCAAAAAGAGAGCTATGGTGGTAATATCAAAGTAATTTTATAACTGGTATATGAGGAAGAGGGAGGTATATATTTTAAAAAGTGTCAATTCATTAAGAAGGTGTAATTATAAACATATATTCTCAAAACAACATAGTCCTAAAATAATCTGAAGCAAGTACTGACAAACTTGAAGGTAAGAATAGATAGTTCTACATTAATAGATGGAGACTTGAATACCTCACTTTCAATAATGGATAGAACATCTAGACAGAAGTTCAGTTAAAAAAATACATGAGTTAAAAACATATAAACCAACTGATCCTAACAGTGTGTGTATTATATATTATATATTTTTTATTTATATATTATATATTATATATATATGGAGAGAGAGACTGAGACTTGGTCTATGACTCAGATTTAGAAGATGTCTCTACTTAAGATTTTCAAAAAGTGATGCTTGACAAATTAGACACCAAGCATGTATCTCATTGGCTTCTAGCAAATGACAAACTCATTTATACATTCATGAAGTTAATGATGTGCTTCTAGGTAGTTTCTTACAAGTTACTATTTTCTACCTAATTTTAAAACAACTAGGCAATTTTATTATTCTGTTAATTGTAAAAATGAAAACTTTAAAATACTTCTAGAAAACATAAATATTGTGAATGTGTGAAAAGTAAATTGAAATAGATATTAAAATTAATGAATACATGAAGAGTAATATACAGTATTACTGTAAATGCTCTATATGCTATATACTTTATATACTCTATATAATCTGTATGCTATGTACTATGCATAAATGCTATATTATACACTATAAATTTTCTATGTACTATTGTGTGTATATATATGTAATATTATTTTCTGAAAGTTGAAGGTATTCATAAGGTTCCAAATGACTACATATATCTGACTTTTCCTAGAATTCTAATATCTTACTTCCTAAGCATGAGAGGAGTTATATGAAAAAATGACATTATAACTGAGTTCTGTCTACACATTCTGTCCTTTAGTTACTCTAAGGAAAGATAAACAAGTAGTTTGTGCTTATCATAATAACTTCATTTGCCCATAATAACTCATATGCCCAGTTTAAATGAGTAACAATAAGCCCATATTTTTCTAAGTAGTTTTCTTAGACTAAAGGCTAAACTGCTGGGGGGAAAAATGTAATAGCTTAAAGAGTGAAGTTTATCTCACACACGTAAGGCAGCTTTTCTCTGTGAATTTTTATTGAGCCCGTTTTCATCCTCCATCAATCCCATGGATGTTTTCTTCATCAGCATGACTGATGCTGCACCTCTACCATATGTACATTTCAGTCTGCAAGAAGGGAAAAGTGAGCAAGACCAGAGCAAGAAATCTTCTTTTAACCTTTTAATCTTCTTTTAACACATTACTTTGTTCATATTCCATTGGTGAGAACTTATTACAGAGCTTCACATGGCTAATACGTGTGAGGACAACAGAAATTGTTCACAGCTTTGTAGCCATGTGCCCAGAAAAAAAGAGGGGAAAAGATTTGAAGGGAATAACTGGTAGGCTGCCAGAGTCCATCCTATGGCAACCATTTATTGGTGCACACTCTGCTTCCAACAAAGTGAACTCATTCTTCCGCCAAAGGACAAAGCCCAAGGTCCTATCCTATTACCTCTTCCATCACAAATCTCAGAA
This sequence comes from Homo sapiens, assembly GCF_000001405.40. Lineage (NCBI taxonomy): Eukaryota > Metazoa > Chordata > Mammalia > Primates > Hominidae > Homo > Homo sapiens. Next base: position 87,477,840 of record NC_000013.11, read on the forward strand.
TCTGTGGTTAATGGGCATCCCTCTCTATTAGGTTCAGTCACAGATCCTATATCCTGACAACTTATAAACTAATAGAAAAATAATCTGTCATATTTTGGTATGTGACAATATTTATGGGGGCAAGAAAAATATTACAAATGTAGTCTTACATATCCTATACCTATGCAATGGTTTGAATGTTTGTGTCCCTCCAAAAATTATACATTAAAACCTAATCCTCAATGTGATGCTATTAGGAGGTGGGGCCTTTGGGAGGTGACTAGATCAGGAGGGCAGAGCCTCTGTGAATAGGATTACTGCCCTTACAAAGAGACCTCAAAAAGCTAACTAACCCCTTTCACCCTGTGAGGACAGAGTGAGAGGGTGTCATTATGGGAAAGTGGGCCCTCCCTGGACATCAAATCTGATGACGCCTTAATTGTGGATTTTCTAGCTTACAGAACTGTGTGAAATAAATTTCTGTTGTTTATAAACAACCTGATATATGGCTAAGACAAACAATATTAAATAATTACATACAGCCCTGGTGCGGTAGCTCATGCCTGTAATCCCAGCACTTTGGGAGGCCTAGGCAGGTGGGTCCCTTGATTCCTGGAGTTTGAGACCAGCCTGAGCCACATAGTGAAACCCCGTCTTCACAAAAAAAATAAAAAATTAGCCAGGCCTGGTGGCACGTTCCTGTAGTCCCAGCTACTCGAGACGCTGAGGCGGGAGGATCTCTTGAGCCTGGCAGATGGAAGTTACACTGAGCCCAGGTCATGACACTGCAATCCAGCTCCTCAAAAAATAAATAAATAAAATTAAAAATATATAAACCAAACAAATTATACTGTTAAATATAATACATTCTATTCACTTACGTTGACAAATTCAAAATTCTCAGATTCTTGTTTTTCCATCCTAGAATATATGAAAACACAAGGAAAGATAACCCTAGCTCTGAATTTGTAACCATGACCCCCTCTTCTCTTCACTCACTTTTCTTATGATTAATTGAGTTACACTCTAGTCTGCAAGCCAAAATACATTGCTGCCCTTAGCCCATTCTTGGGTTTAAGTTAAGGCCAGCAATTTTCAGGAGGATGACGTGGGTAGAAGGTCTGTAAAATACCTGGAAGCCAATTAGGGTCTATTTGAGCAGGGATCTGTGGACTATTAGGCATTCAAAGCATGGCCCGGAAGTGGAGCCTATGCTTCAACTAGACACAGGCATCACTGCCCTTTGGCCTATGCAACTCTTACCTTGAAAATTGGGGTTAGACTGGGGAAGGACAGAATTGAGTTTGCCAAAATACGGAGTCCAAGGCAGCACCCCTTTTTGCCTGGGTCTGAAGTTGCTAATGAGAATAATATATGAGAGTGGAACAGAAACAAAATTACTGCAGTTAAAAAGAATTCATTAGAATGGGTACAGCACACCAACATGGCACATGTATACATATGTAACAAACCTGCACGTTGTGCACATGTACCCTAAAACTTAAAGTATAATAAAAAAAAATTAAAAAAAGAAAGAAAATAGAATGGGAAACAGGTCAGTCAGCACATAATAACAATGTCTTTCTGGGAAGGACTAATAAAGGCTGACTGTTGAAAGTTGAGTAAATTCATTGGGTAGACCCAGATTCTGAGCTGTGAGAAAAAGGATCTCATCCTCTGTCTTCCACGGCACATGGCTCTGCCTTCTGGGAGGTCCATCTTTGTGTTCATTAGCTTCTGTGGCTACATCTGAAGAATGAATCTATATTCTCCTTGGAGGCTGCATACTTACACAAACTACTTTTTGCAGGTGCAGTTCTGGGAGCCTGAGAATTGTTTTACAGATAAGCAATCAATTCTTTTAGGCCAATTTTGTGACTTCTTTGTAATTGCTCTCTCAAAAATTTTTAGACCCATGGCCTATTTGCTTCCCCTCAGTATTAATATGCCAGGGAAAAAATCACAGCATTATTTTATGGACATACTTCCTAAGCCTGCCTTGTGATTTTCTTGTCTGTGCCTATTTCTAACTTATTTTGATTGAGGCAACTTGAAGATCTCTGACACAATACATGGGAGTGAAAGACAATACTCCAAATCTGATGTTTGCCACAAACTTAGATACCTTATGGATTAGAAATCTTAATCAGAAGTCTGAACACATGTTTTTAGACTGACACTTTTATCTTGATGTTTTAGGGGAGTAAAAAAATGATTTGGATATTGCCATCCTGCAAAGCCCCATATTTTTAGACGCTCCCCTTCATTTTGTTTTGAAAGTAAGTCAGATCTTATCTGAGGTTCTCTTTATTGTAGTAATTTGCATAAAGCAACAAGAAACAGGCAATATATAGTTACATTATGGATCTTTGTAATGATTTCCTCAAAAATATAGGCTCAAGAGTCACCTAATTTGCTTAACAAACACGTGGCTTAGTTACCTTTTCAAAGACAACAATTTATCAGCTATACTGGCATAACAGGGGTCACCAGCTTTCCAACCTTACCCATCTATACTGCCTGAGTACTCTTCTAATGTCACATATTTTCAGTTTCTGTCACAGGACCAACCCTCTAGTGATACTAGTATCTGCTTTAGTTAGAATACAGTTTAGGTTGCAATAGCAAGAAGACTCAAAATACAGTGGCATGAATACATTAAGAATGACATTTTCTAGACTCGACAGCAGCTAGATGCAGCCATATTCCCAAAAAGACTCAGGGAGTGTATTTTTAGATGACAATTGGCATACCATTTTAACTTTGAAAACTGAAAATTCCACTATCACTTCAAAAAGCACTCTATTAAAGATCAACAATAGGCATCCAATGGTTAAATTCAATAATATCCCTTTGCTTTAATATATTCCACTAAACTCCTTTCCCACTTTCACTCCTTTTCAATAAAACATCTCGGCATTTGACAATAACCCCTCATACCTTGTATATCTGTTCTCTTTTAATTCATCAGAGAGTCCATTTTTAAATTCCTTTTTTATCACAATTTTTGTCCTTATTTTTATAAACTGTAGATCTAATTGGCTGTTTTTCTTATTCTATATGCCATGATCAACTTTTAATTCTTATCTGTTTATTAGATTTTTCTTCTAACATTCACTCCTTATTTCAAACTGTCTTATAATATCTCCAATTACACCTCTACTTTTCTAGTTTAACACCCCATTTTTTCTTTCAATATCCAGTAAAGAACACTGTTCCCTCTTTCCAAGTCAGATTATGCGACATTGCTTGTGACATTTCTTTTTTTGCATAAGATTATTTCTATCTCCTTTTGTCAACATTTTACACTTCCTTCAACGTTTATGTCAAATGCTAAAAATAAAATATCCATAGGAACTCATGCTTACATGAACATTCCATCGTTAAACTTCCATACAACCCTATAACTTTTTTTAAATGGGACTCATCTTATACTGTAACAAAAATTATTCTCCCTATTCTAGTGTTCTAAAGTCATCGTCTTATAAAATGTACTGGAATTGTGTGATTCGTCTGACGCCACTCCAGACATCCTGTTTTGAGTTTCGTGTTCTTATTCTCTGCTTCTATCTCTGGGATGAGTTATTCCATTCAAAGCAAATACTTTGAAAGAATCATCAAAGAGATAATGATACCTCTGTAAAGACACCAGTAACAATTTCAAGGTAGACAGGCTCACTTTCCTTGATGCCCCTACAATTTTAGTGGCCACAGTAGCAATGCACAAGTTTGTCAAATGTACAGTTTTGGAAGTGGTGCAAATAATTAAGGAAAATAAAATCACAGGAGTAAAACATTTTAGAACTGTTCTAAATTGACTACACAGTCCACAAAAAGAATATACAAATAGACTAAAACATTACATGTGATTATCTCTGTTGCCAGGCCCCAATTCAAAGACTTGCTTTTCTTTCCTCAGGTTTTCAGTTCATTTTTTCTGTCTTAAAAGAATTCTCATAACTAGTTTGGTTTGTCTATTTGTTAGTATTTTGTTTAACTCAATGACTATGTTTTCATGTATATAAAATTTCTAGTTCTTAATATGCCCGTTTTTAATGTATTTTATTTTTCCTTTCAGGTTCAAGTTCATTTTTCAGTGTGATCACTTTACACATGCTTAAAGTCTCTTTCACAGTTCTGTCTTATCTTTAGTTATTTGTCAGCTCTTTAGTATATAACATGGAAGTTGTTTTCTGTCATATTTGAAATACCTCATATGGAAACTTTCCTATAAAACATTTTATTTGTGTTTTGTAACCCAGATGGATTGTCTAAATTCAGACCATTTTAAAATATTAATTTTTAATTTGTAGTTTCTATAACTTATTGGCAATTCAAGCATAGAGTCATATCCTTATAAGCCTCCTGCTTCTTTACTTCATATCCAAGACATTGGGGTAAAAATTGAGTCTCATTTAGAAGCAGAGTTAGCATCTCCTCAGTAATGATTTTCTGCAAGATACTCAGTTTCATCTCCCTCTAGCTAAATATGAAGGTCTATGGCATGGCCATCTTTTTAAAACAAATTGAAATATTTTGATCCAACAATTCTGCTTTACCTGCTTTTTATTTGTACCTTAGAATTGATTCCGTTGTCATTTCTTTTGAGCCTAATCATACATATTAAAACATGATTCCTGGAGTTTTTGAATTTTTCAGTGTGTCGGACCTACCCTCATTAGTTCAGTCCACCGTATTGACAAGTATCCCCTCCTTTCCTTCCTAAGGCATCATTTTTACAAACAGCTGGCTATAAATCTTGGCTTTCCTTTCATGAAATTTATCCCTTACACACATGGCTTTATCTTATCCTAAGCTTTAGGTCCTTGCTATCAGTAATATTTGTCAACCTATCTGAAATATACATTCCAAAAAAAATACTGTGCCATATAGCAGCACTAGACAGCACTTGGGACTTCAGATGCACAAAACATTTCAGAATGGGGAAGGGCATTCCAAATCCCAGCTCTTCAAAAATATCCTTGTCAGCATGATAGCTCATATTCTTCCTGATGTTTTGGGAATTAGATAAAAATTAAATTAAATAGCACATTGACAAACATTAAAGTGAAACACTCAGCCTTAGATGCACTGCCTTGGAAAATCTCTATGACATAGAGAAGTATTTTTCTATCTGTTCATAAGATGTGTGATAGCTCCTGCTATGAAAATATGATTTAACTTTATTATTAGAGAAATGTCAATATTCCCCCTCTATTTGTTATTGATGTTTCCATGCTGTGTCACTGGGCAGAGGTATTTGAACTAAACTTTTTCCCCCCATCAAGTGATTACAAAAAGTTGAAAACTTTTTACATGATTGTTCACAGTAACTTTATTCATAATAAATGAAAACAATCTAAATTTCCATTAAAAGATGAGCTGATAACCAAATTGTCATATATTCATATAATTGAATACTATTCCACAACAAAAATGAGCAAACTATTGATACTGCTTTGTCATTCTACTTCAAACCATAATCTGAGATTAAACACCATCTCCTCATATAAGCAATTGGGATTTTATAGTAAAAGCAGAAACTATACGTTAGTGAAGCAACAGGGAGAAAATAGCTTTTGATTAACTTTGATCTTTATTATAAGTTTGGGATGTTTATCTGAATCAATCTACTAGATTATAAACTTTGAATATAAAAAAGTTTATTCAACATTTGCCTTCTAAATATTAGTTTCTCATTAAAAATATATATTAATAAAATTTCAATTGTTATATCAATTTAGAGCCATATCAACTCCACAGAACTGAGAATTCAAGCCCCACAAAGAATGTGTTTAGAAATGAAAAGTTCAGAGACTTTCGTAAGCCACACACATTCTCAATGAATGTTTATCTATTTGGTAAATATCTATATATTATATAATAATATATTACTTTTTTCTAAAATTTTATAAAGCCTAAATCCTTCTACCAATTTATGAGATCATGACTTTCAATCTTTCTTTACTAATAAAAATAAACAAATAATCTCATAAAAAGAAAAAATGTTACTTGACAGAGGTTTATTTTTAACAAGCTATATTTAGTGTTGAAGAAAAAATACTTGTTTGGGTTGAAAGTAGTTTCCCTTTTTATATCACCTCATTTCATATATATATTTAGAGAGAGAGCAATTATTTAGAGGGAAAAAGTCATCATTCTATTGCAATAAAATATCATCTTTAAGAAGAATAAATAGCTAATGGTAATTTTCTAATGGCTCCATAATTGGTTATATTAAGGTAGTATTCACAAACTATTTTTATTATAAAATTGTTTCTTTTGTCATTAATTGGTAATTTGTGAGGCAATAATTTCAGGCTTTTTTAATATCTTGGCATCTAAAATCTAGTTACTTCACATTGACTATGAATTTTTCCTTAGTTTTTCTTATGATGATTATTAAATGGTGATGTTTCTATTTTTACCATTTCTTCTAAATATTTAATTAGCATTATTCTATAAATAAGATTTTTATTTCCCCTTTTTACTGTTAAATGTCAGTATCTTGCCAAGAAATTAGTACAATTAATCTGGGAAAACTTGAGCTAAGAATATACCTATATAGTAAATTTATACCTATACCTATAATGTTAAAGTAAATTTTATTCAAAAGCCTTCACATTGGCCGGGCGCGGTGGCTCACGCCTGTAATCCCAGAACTTTGGGAGGCCGAGGCGGGCGGATCACGAGGTCAGGAGATCGAGACCATCCTGGCTAAAACGGTGAAACCCCGTCTCTACTAAAAATACAAAAAATTAGCCGGGCGTAGTGGCGGGCGCCTGTAGTCCCAGCTACTTGGGAGGCTGAGGCAGGAGAATGGCGTGAACCCGGGAGGCGGAGCTTGCAGTGAGCCGAGATCCCGCCACTGCACTCCAGCCTGGGCGACAGAGCGAGACTCCGTCTCAAAAAAAGAAAAAGCCTTCACATTTTCTTCAAAGTTAATCATTGTTTACTAAATGGAGAAAACCTGAAAGCCTTTCCTCTAAAATCTGAACATGACAAGAATGCTCAATTTCAACACTGTTGTTCAACATAGCACTGGAAGTCCTAGCTAGAGCAATGAGACAGGAGAAAGAATTAAAGGGCATCAAAATTGGAAAGAAAAAATTCCAATTGTCTTGTTTGCTGATGATATGATCTTATATTTGGAAAAATCTAAAGACATCACACAGACACACATAAGAAAAACAATTAGAACCGATAAATTCAGCAAAGTTGTTGCCATTTACAAAAATCAAATCAAAATGGAATTAAGACTTAAATCTAAGACCTCAAACTATGAAACTACTACAGGAAAACATTGGGGAAAATCTCCAAGACATTGGTCTGGGGAAAAAATTATGAGCAATACTTCAAAAACGCAGACAACCACAGCAAAAATGGACACAACGTTAAAAAGCTTCTGCCCAGCAAAGGAAACAACCAGCAAAGTGAAGAGACAACCCACAGAATGGAATAAAATATTTCCAAACCACCCATCTGACAAGGGATTAATAACTAGAATATATGAGGACGACTCTATAGAGAAAACCTAATAATCTGATCAAAAATGGGCAAAAGATTTGCTTAGCAATTTCCCTAAAGAAGACACGCATATGGCAAATAGGTATATGAAAAGGTACTTAAAATCACTCTCAGAGAATTGCAAATTCAAAACTACAGTGAGCGATCATCTCACCCCAGTTAAAATGGCTTTTACCCAGAAGATAAGCAATAACAAATGCTGGTCAGTATGTGAAGAAAAGGGAACCTTTTTATACAGTTGGTGGGAATGTAAATTAGTACAACCACAATGGAGGACCATTTGGAGGTTCCTCAAAAAAACAAAAATTGAGCTACCAATGATCCTGCAATCCCAATGCTGGGTATGTACCCAAAAGAAAGGAAATCAGTATATCAAAGAGATTCTTGCACTCCTATGTGTGTTGCAGCAACTATTTACAATAGCTAAAATTTGGAAGCAACATAAGTGTCTATCCACAGATGAATGAATAAAGAAATTGCCGTACATATACACAACGGACTACCATGCAGCCCTGAAAAAAGAATGAGATCCTGTCATTTGCAACAACATGGATGGAACTGGAGATCATGATGTTAAGTGAAATAAGTCAGGCACAAAAAGACAAGCATTGCATTTTCTCACTTATATTTGGGATTTAAAAATCAAACAATTGAATTAATTAACATAGAGAGTAGAAGGGTTGTTACCAGAGGCTGAGAATGGTAGTAGGGATTTGGGAAGAAGATGACAATAATTAACGGGTACAAAAAAAATCGGAAAGAATGAATAAGGCCTCCTATTTAATAGCAGAACAGGGTGACTATAGTCAATAATAATTGTACATTTTAAAATAACTAAGAGTATAATTGAATTGTTGGTAACCAAAAGCATAAATGCTTGAGGGAATGGATACCCTCCTCTCCTTGATGTGATTATTTCACCTTGCAAGCCTTTATTAAAACACTTTATGTATCCCATAAATATATACACCTACTACATACCCATAAAATTAAAAATAAAAAAATTTTGGAAACATAATCATTTTAATTATCTCTGTAAAGATTATTCTTAAAAATATTATATTAAGTACAATATCAGTGAGATTAATTTTAGAACAACTCCTTTGGAATAAATATGAAAGTAAAATTAAGGAAACTTAAAATAATGACTTTGATTCAAACCACTGAAAGGGAGAATTATTTTTATTATTCCTTCCAAAAATGCATGTGGTAAATAAATGGTTAAAGTATTCAACAAAGTAGTGCAAAACAAGCTTTTAAAAGGTGCAAACACAATAGGTTGCAGCAGAAATAGAAGAATTTCTTCTCAGCAGATGAGAGTAAATGAATAAGAGAAAACAATAACCTCGATATTCATGCCATAGCAAGATTTTAACACCATGTGAAACTACTATAAAATATAAAATTTTTAAAAAATTATCATTGGGCAAAAGAAAATAAAAGTTTCCAGTTTAATTTCTGCATGGGCTAAAGGAATATTTTTATTAGATGCTAGCAAGAAATAAATGAGAAATATATTTGATTGTATTTGAATTTACTATGGGAATATAAAAAAGATTATATATTTTTAAAGTGCATAGAAAACGAAACTTTCAAGTGTAACATATAACTACTAAAATATTCATTTTGTGATCCTTTAAAAAAATAATAGGTTCTAGTAATAGAACAAAAATATTTAATATACTTCTAATATGCAAAAACAATGCTTTTAAGGTATCTCACTATAATGAACTATAAAGAATCTGACACTTTATATATATCAATTCCAAAGTTCTTGAACACTCTAAAAAGTTATTGAATGTGTGAGATATAATTTATTTAATGACTATTTTTATTGTTAGAGTAATTGTGAAGACATTGGAAGAAACCAAATCTTAGGCCTCAATGTCAAATGTGCAATAGAGATCATCACAGGATCATAGTTAAGTAAACACAGTAATTATAATATGTTATTTTAGATAAACGTTTTGATTTTTTATGTTATTATTTCCTGATAAGAAAGTAAAGCAATCATTTTACCATATTCCAACCATGTGATATCTGTTTTTACCAGGGATATCCAGCAGCTATTTAAATATTTATAAATGAGACAGTTTTAACCTTTATGAAAATTTCATGAAATTTAAATAAACTCAAAATATAAATCTATAAATACAGAGGAAGTTAATAGCACAAGTGTACACTCTTTAAAGGAATATTTGAAATAATATTAAATAGTAATTGTTGGCTCTTCCTACAATGCAATGAAATAAATCTTTCAGCTGTGCTGAAATTAAAAAAAAAAAGAAAAAAAAAAAACATTGAGAGTAACTGGACCTAAACTACTACAACTACAATCAGGAATACATGTGAAAAAGATGTGTAGATGTTAGTGGGGGCAATAGTCTTCTGAGGCAGATTCTTGTTTTCCCTGGGCTCAATTGAATCTCCTAAAAGATGTTTAGCTGTTTCTCTACACTTTCTCATGTCAATAATTTGAATCTGTCTGCAATGTTCTTTTAGTCATATATACATGACTGTCCTCTCTTCAAATGTTCTCCCAATGCATGATGTAAGAGAAAGAACATTGCAGACAGCTTAAAACTATTGGCATGAAAATGTGTAGAGAAACAGCTAAACATCTTTTGCTAGATTCAATTGAGCCCAAGGAAAACAACACTCTGCCTCCGAAGACTTATATATATAATATATATAATGTACATACACTTATATTTACTATATATATACAATATATTTAATGTGTATGTGTGTGTGTGTGTGTGCGTGTGTTTATTCAATAAAGCTAAGTGACCTGACAGCCTGCCTTGCCAAATTATCCCTTGTGTGTACTCTGACCATTTCCATTTTATTATAAGGGACATCACAAATTGCTAAGATAGATCACTTGTAGTTTGAATTGAGTACCGTTACAGGATTTTGCAATATCACTAAAGATTCATCAATAAAGATAATAATATGTAATGAGGGTTCTTAAATATATTTTTATCAGGTTAAGGAATGTTCAAGATATGATTTGCTAAGTGTTTTGTTTCTGTCTTTGCTTTTATTCATGAGTAATACCTGAATTTTTACCAAATATTTCAATGCAACAACTGAGATTATCTTGTTATTTTTAAATGTATAAATATACTGTCAATTTGTTTACACTAAAGCTCTTTGCTATTGCTAGAACAAATTTAAATATGATTTACTTTAAATGTGATTTATTTTATATAAAAACATGCAGGTTTCAATTTGGTAACAGTGTGCATGCTTTCTACATCTGTGTTCACAAATGAGTTTGCTCTACAATTGCATTTTCTGGTTCTAATTTTATCCAGTTTTATCATCGAGGTTACGCAGGTCTCATAAAATGTGTTATGGAGTACTTCCTTTTTTCTATTCTTTGAACAGCTTGAATACAGTAAGTATTGTCTATTTGTTGAAATATATATTTTTAAAACATTCAAAGCTATATTGGCCACATATTTCCTAAAACTTTTTGAAGAAATTTTTTTTGGCCACTGATTCAAGTAATGGTTCTATATTTCATTAACATTAACTGATAATATATTTTGAAATATCCCTATCTTTTTCAAGTATCCTATCATTTCATAGTTTTAAGATTTTTAAACAACTTCCACCCATCTAACTCTGTTGTTTTGCTTCTTTACGCTTTTTCTAGTTTGCTTTGATGAATCATTTTGTATCTTAGTTTTTCAAAGAATTATATTTTGGTTTTATTATCTCTATGGTTCCTTCTCCCAAGATTTAATATCTTTATTTTATTAATATCATATATTTATCATTTACTATTTTTCTATTTACTCCATATTTTTTATTTTCATGAATTAAAATATTTAACTAATATGATTTCATGATTTCTTCCTCTTTAACTCATACATGTACCACTATAATTTGCCTCTAATCAGGACTCTGACCAAATCTAACAAAATTTTAAACATATATTACATTCATTTTTATTCAGTTCTAAATACTTATTTTCTCATATGAATTTGTTTACAATTGATTTAGAAATGTACATTATATTTTTCAAATGAAGTTTTTCCTGGTTAAAAACTTGATATTTCATTGTATTGCTTTTTCTATGATAAAAATTATTGTATTTTTAAGATTTTCTTTGTAAATACATAATCATCCATTTTAAAAATATTTAATGTGTCTTTGAAAAGAATGTATGTCTTATGTGTGTTGGGTTAACATCCATGTTAGATCAGATGGATTGTGTTGTCAAATATTCAATATCCTTATTAACATTTTATCAAATTTATCTAAAATTTTAAGAAATATATTAAAATCTGCAAGTATCATAGCTATGTTAAAAACATTGCCTTATAATTCTATGGAATTTTAAATTATTTATTTTTATTGTTTTATTTTTTATTTTTATTTTTTGAGATGGACTCTTACTCTGTCATCCAGGCTGGAGTGTAGTGGTGTGATCTCAGCTCACCACAACTTCCGCCGCCTGGGTTCAAGCAATTCTCCTGTCTCAGCCTCCAGAGTAGCTGGGACTAAAGGCACCCACCACCACACCCAGCTAATTTTTGTATTTTTAGTAGAGACAGGGTTTCACCATATTGGTCAGGCTGGTCTCAAACCCCTGACCTTAGGTGATCCACCCGCCTCGGCCTCCCAAAGTGCTGGGATTACAGTTGTGAGCCACCGCGCCTGGCTAAATATTTTATTTTAAATTTTACTTTTAATTGACAAATATAAATTATGCATATTTATGAGGTCCAATGTGATGTTTCCATATACGTATACATTTTGTAATGATCCAATCAGAATAATTAGCATACTCATCATCTCAAACATTCATCATTTCTTCGTGATGCAAATATTCAAAATACTTTATTCCAGCAATTTTAAAATATAGAAAACAATATTATTAACTATAGCACCTCTATTGTACAATGAAATACCAGAACTGATTCCTCTTATCTAACTGTAACTGTACCTATTGAACAACTCCCCTTTCCGTTTCTCCCATCCCCCTAAGCCTATTGTGTCCACCGTTTTGCTTTCTAAGAGTGCCACTGTTTTCTATCTTACATATAATTGAGATCATATAACATTTGTTTCTCTATGCGTTGGTTATTTTTCTTAACATAATGACCACTGGGTTCATCCATGTTGTCGCAAATGACAGAATTTCCTGTTTTTAAGTGTGGAACAGTATTTCATTGAGTATATATATCCCATTTTTAAATCCATTCATTTGTTAACAACACAGGTTGTTCACATATCTTGACTATTGTGAATAATGCTACAATAAACATGGGAGTGCAGACATTTCTTTGGCATACTGATTTGAGTTCCTTTGTGTATATACCTGGTAGTGAGAATTAAACATTTTAAAGTTATATTGCTATCTTCTTATGATTTTTACATATCCTCAGTGAACTGTTACTCTTATAATCATGCCTACTTATATAACACCCTTAGGAGAAGATTCCTTACATTTTGAATACTATTAATATTGTTAGATCAGGGTGCTCTCTCTCCTTTCTCTCTCTCTCTCTCTCCTCTGTTACGTTTATTCTCTTTATTCAATCTTTATGCTCCTATATTTTAGGCATCTCTCCAAACAAACTTGTAGATAGTATTTTTAAATTCAATTGGATAGTCTTTTTTAAATATAATAAGCACATTGCATTTTAATGATAATGATTATAGTTGAGTTTATTTTTGCTCTCTTTTGGGTATCTACTTATGTAATATCTTTAAAAAATTTCTTTGTTTCTTGTTAAAAATATGTCTTTATTTTTTCTCCGTGTGTATTGAGCCTAATAGCTGAATGTATTTAATGTGTACATTTTGTAATGTGTACACTTTTAATTGACAAATATAAATATATACTGATTAATAGATATTAATCAGTATAATTAATAATATACATTAATCGGTATATATTTAGCTTCTTCATAAACCAAAACTACACCTAGACATGATTCATATAGAACAGACCCTTCCTATTTCACTTCTTACAATTGACTAAATTAAGACATTTGTTTAGTTTTTTACCCTTATAGATAGATTGATAGATCAGTAAGTAGAAGATAATCAGTCTTCCAGAGAAATAAAACAAATAGAATATATATGTATACTTATATATAAGAAATATATAAACATATAAATATGCAATATATATAAGAAATTGGTACACATATAAGAAATGTATATATAAAGAATCACCTCATATTCAACTGTAATTGATTATGAAAGCTGAGAAGTTCCAAGATATGCAGTCAGCAAGCTAAAGACTCTGGAAAGCCAATGATATCATTCCAATCAGGATCCAAAGACCCGAGAACCAGGAAAGCTGATGGTTTAAGCCCCAATCCTATTCTCAGTCCAAAAACCAGAAGAATTGAAGGTTAAGTTCTATCTGAGACCAAGTCTGAAGGCAGGAGACCCATGTCCCAGCTTGAAAACAGTCATTCAGAGAGTGAATTATTCCTTACTCTGCCTTATGTTGTATTCTGGCCTTCAACAGATTGAATAAGGTCCATTCACATTCAGATGAAAAAATCAGCTTTACTCAGTGTATTCATTTAAACATTAATCTCATCTAGAAATACTTTCAGAAACATAGTCAGAATAATGTTTAACCAAATATTTGGGCACCTAGTGGTCCAGTTAAGGTCATACATAAAATTAACCATTTTAGGTAGGCAGAGATTTGCCTACTGGTATATGTTGTATATGTTTTCATTCTTTTGACTCATATATGAGTCAAACATATATACATATATATACATATATATACACATACATATATGTGTATATACATATATACATATACATATATGTGTATATACATATATACATATACATATATGTGTATATACATATATACATATACATATATGTGTATACATATATACATATACATATATGTGTATATACATATATATACATATATGTGTGTATATATATTTCCATCTGACTTCTTCACCTGGTTCTCTTATTCTCACAGACGTATATGGTGATTACTTCACTGTGGGTCCATGAGTATTACACTATTTAGGTTTTATATATCTGAAAAAGCCTTTGCTTTTTATTTTATCTGTGGACACAATTCTCAGAATATTCTTACTTTGTTTCCCTTCCTGCTTCTGACACCTCTAATTGCTGAGCATAAGTCTGCTGGTGCATAATTATACTTCCATTAGAAGTGATCTTTTTCTTTGTGAGTTATTAGGAATTTTTGCTTTATGTTTCTCATTCTGCTTTTTATCCATGATAATTTAGAAGAGGATGCTTCTTCTGGAGGATTAATATGTCCCTTGTGTCTGTTAATTCTTGTTTTATATATTTTTTCTCATTATCTTTGTGGACCGAATCTTCTCTGAATGCCTTAATGTGAATTTTGTCTTTGGCTTTAGCCTAGAGCTTCCTATATTTTGAATTGTTTGATATCACTGTCTATTATTTTCATTTCCAGGATTTCCAATTTATTCTTTATTACATTTATCTATTACCTCATTCTAAAGACTTGTTATAGTAAATGTGGTTCTTAGATCAGCAGCATTAGTATTACCTGGGAGTTTCTAAGAAATACATAATTCTAGGTCTCAATTCAAATTTATTGATTCAGATAATGCATTTTTACAAGATTTATCATAATTTTTATACCTATTAAAGTTTTAATGCATCAGATGACCTTTGGCATATTTATATTAAAGTCAATTGAATATTTTGATATAATTTGCTACTATCAGGAATGAATTAATTTCTTAATAATAGTGTTATTGGTTGTCTTTTCTGGTGTTAGTTTTACAATTGGACTTGAATTTTTATTTTACCGATACAAAGTATGGTCCAGAGTCTTTTAAAGATATATTTTTTGTTGTCTGTATTCACCCATCAGATTCATCTCTGTGGGTTCTACCATCTAAATCCTACAGAGCAGTGATAGTGGAGACATTTCCATTATTTATTTGACTTTAACTCACATACCACATTTCGTGTCAGTAGTTTTTGTGGTAAACAGATATATGCATTTAGTTATGAATATATTCTGGATAAAAACTTACCTATTTATAAAAATAGTAATCTACATGACTTTTAAATATGTAACATCTTTTTATATGTTTGAAGAAGAGAGAGGAGTATAATCGTAACCTTGGACTTTAAGTCTTAGGCTCTTTAAATATTGTATTTTACTTAATAGATTGTTTGGCCAAGTATTACTATATTATTATTTAACAGATAAAAGGCCAAGATTTTAGTTAATTAAATGTGTTGAAATTCATACAGAGCACAATTTTTAAACCTAGGTCTTATTGACAAAAAAATAAGCTCAAGTTAATAATGGCATAAATAGTAAGTAGTTAAGGTTTTTTTTTTTTTTTTTTACGTATACCTTCATTCCACAGCTCTTTGTAGGGCCTCCAAAAGATAATAATAGTAACATGAGAGTTCATTCCATTAAACATCTACCATGTGCAGACACTGTTTGAAGTGTGGAGACACTGTTTTTCACACAAAAAAATTAGTAAAAAAACTAAGCATACAATTAATATTTTTGTTAATAGAGTGAGGAGTTGCAAACAAATACTGTTAAGAAGAAAACAATTAGCTGAGATGAAGAAATGCATAGGAAACTTCATTTATGTAGGGAGGTCAAGGAAGTCTTCTTTGAAGAGGGAATGTGGACTTGGATAATTTGGCTATCTGCAGAGATGGAGAGAAGAGACACTGGGAATCATATGCAAGAAAGAGCTTACCAATAGCCAGAATATGATCACAGGAGGTTAGGGAGTCTGAAACATAGGGAAGAAATGGGGAAGTTGCTTACAAAGAAGGTAGAGAAACATGTGAAGAATTGATCATGTGGGCCAAGTCAGTCTAGATTTTGTAGTAAACGTAATATGGAGCCATTGAAATGTTTAAATTAAGAAGTTACATGTGACCTAATTATTTTCTGAGAAAATCACTTTTCTTGCTCTGTAGAGTTAAATAGGGGAGGGGAAACAATAGGAGTGGCTGGATTCACCTGCAGTGGCAAAGCAAAGGGAATGTTGCAGGAAGAGGTTTTGCTGGGTTTCTGTGCCTCTAGGGATGAAACTAAAGCTGTGTCTCCAGTGGTCAACTTGAAGGGACATCCCATTTGCAAGGAAATGGCAATGTTGGAGGTCTCCTCGGCAGAGAAATTGCCTTTAAAAGATCCTCAGTGCACCCTCATGAAATAACAACAATATCACGTGAGTATATGTGCCATTGAGAGTATACCAATGTTAGATTACAAATATACCAGCTAGGTAATACCTTCCCCAGCCCATTGCCTCACCTCCCTTCCTGTTTCCCATCCCCAGAGGGGCCAGAGGCAGCACAATCTAATGAGAAGCAGTGGATGCCTCAAGAAGGGATATCACACCGTCTTCCAGCTGCTCTGTGAAATTTTCAGACCATAGTCTGATCAAATCAGGAACTGGTGCAATCATTTAGGTGAGACAAGTCAGTGGTTTGGACTAATATGAAACCAATGAGGATCAAAGACATATTTGAGTAATACTTTGAGTAATATATTTGAGTAATTTTTTTGAAAGTGTAATTGATAAGGCAGTACTGATAGTTTTACAAAGCTGAACTCAATGCTGTACAATGTATAAAAACCATATTTCTTTCTCACCTCTTCCTATAAGTAATCTCTGTCAGCTCTTACTTTCTTGCCCCTGGATAGTATGTTCATATGCAAAATTATTCTTGGTTACTTTCCGATATTGGAAAACTCATTTTCATATATTAAAGAAGTCCAGCTAACATTAATATCAACATTATAAGCTGTCATCCATTTTAAGCACATCTTCTCCCTGCCTGGACTTGGGTCTGAAAATTCCAAAGAGCAGCAGGAAAAGGTGTGATATCCCTTCTTGAGGCATCTATTGCTTCTCCTTGCTAGATTGGGCTGCCTCTGGCTCCTCTGGGGATGGAATAGGGAGGGAAGTGTGACAATGGGCTTGGAAAGGTACTACCTGGTGGCTATTTTTTTTATTTTTATTTTTAGAGGGAGCCTCACTCTGTCACCCAGTCTGGGGTGCAGTGGCCAGATTTTGGATCAATGCAACCTCCACCTCCCGGGTTCAAGCGATTCTCATGCCTCAGCCTTCCTAGTAGCAGGGATTACAGGCACACCCCACCACGACAGGCAATTTTTTTATTTTTTCTAGAGACGGAGTTATGCCATGTTGGCCAGACTGGTCTCGAACCCCCAACATCAAGTGATCTGCCCAGCCTGGCATCCCAAAGTGCTAGGATTACAGGCATGAGGCACCATACTCAGGCATGAGGCACCATACTCAGCCCTGGCTGGTGTATTTGTAATCTAGCATTGGTATACTTTCAATGGCAAACATACTCAAATGTTATTTTTATTCTTTCATGGGGGTGCACTGGGGATCTTTTAAAGGCAATTTACTCTGCAAAGGAGACCTCCAATATTGCCATTTCCTTGCAAAGGGGATGTCCCTTCAAGTTGACCACTGGAGACACAGCTTTAGTTTCATCTCTAGAGGCTCAGAAACCCAGCACAAACTCTCACTGCAATATTCCCTTTGCTCTGCCACTGCAGGTGAATTCAGCCAAGCCAGTTTAGTACCTTGAGACTTTTCCAGACAAAAGGTATGAGTCCGTGTTTGCATTGATCAAACACTTCAGAAGGGCAGGCTTCATGAGCATAAAACCCATTTCGACACACTTCTCTCCAATAGCAACACAGAACAAGCCAAGATTTGTCAGCTAAGAAAGCATCTTGTTGGAGCAATGACTGATGTCAGTCTCGTCTCCGTATAGACCAGCCTTCCCTATCTCATCAAATCTCGTGAAACTTCCTGAGCTCGTCTTGAAATAAGAAAAAAAATCCCTTGTTCTTGGAGAGAGCAAAGCGATGTAAAATGCAGAGGACTCTGACAAGTCTTTTTCAAGTCAAAGACATCCCCCATCTCAAATCGACTGAATCTCTAGCCTTTTCTACATAAACTTGGAGTAAGTGAGGAGCTAAGGATGACAGATATAGTTTTTGAAAGCCTTTTATCTAATACTGAACATGTATTTCTTCTAGTCCCCTTTTACATTTTAAAAGAAAAAAAACCAATGTTGATTACTTAGCATTTATTTCCTTAGTCTGGAACACTCTCTGTAATTACCAGAAATAACCAAAAAACTTAATATTTTCAATGAATTCTCAAGTTAATTCTTCCTTTTTGCTTTTTTTTTATTTTCAGAAAGGGAAACTGATGCCTGATACACAGTAAATGTGAGTAAATTGTGCATATTCACATGTATAATATGTAGTACACAAGCATTACAAGCAGATTACTCAGTTTTTCTGCCAAGAAGATGACAACTCAGAATTCTATAAACCTGAACTAAAATATTGCTGTCACTTCTCTGAAATGTGAAGACCTATGTTAAAAACATAAATAAATAAATAATGGCTGGGCGCAGTGGCTCACAACTGTAATCCCAGCACTTAGGGAGGCCGATGCAGGCAGTTCATCTGAGGTCAGCAACTTGAGATCAGCCTAGCCAACATGGTGAAACCTCGTTTCTACTAAAAATACAAAAAAAATTTAGCCGGGCCTGGTGGCGAGTGCCTATAGTCCCAGCTACTCGAGAGTCTGAGGCAGGAGAATCACTTGAACCTGGGAGGCAGAGGTTTCAGTGAGCCAAGATCGTGCCACTGCACTCCAGCCTGGGCAACAAGAGTGAAACTCGATCTAAAAAAAAAAGAAGAAAGATATGTCTTATTTGCTCAAAAAACATGTGGCCTCAGTGTAAATTCTTGTTTTGTATGTTACTTATACAAGAGTAAAAAATGAACCTACGTTTTTCTTTGCTTCTGTGTTGAACCTAACCTCCTATAAAAATGAAAAACTTTCCTTGACTTAATAGACATCCTTTTCCAAAATCTTACCTGCATTTTTCTTAAGTAGAATACAAGAAATATCTCCTTAGAACTTGACATATGTATTTAATTATAACCAAAACACATTTTCATTTTATCTGATCCTCAAAAAGGAGAAAATATAATTTAATATTTGTCTGATTAAGCATTTTGGAATTATTCTCAAAAAAAGCATAAAGAAATGATCTTTTGTAGAGGTTATCTGTAGCCAAGGTTTATATAGGATTGCTTTCTTGTTTTCCTTTTTGAAGAAGGGTTGGCGTTTAATTCTAAAAGTCTGTGTGATGACCAAGCTTAGCAGAGAGAGAAAGACAGAGAAAGTAAACCCAGTCATTATATATTCTTTGTCTGTTCACAAGAACTCAATGTTCTGATCTGAAATACTCACCACCCACTCATGCATGTCACTAGAAAGAAAACGTCTGCTGTAGTGCTAGAGAAATACTTGTTCTGTTAACCAACAATCATATTTTTTTCAAAAGCCCTAGACAAAGAAAAATATAATTTATACTGTTTATAACTACATATTTTAATTTTCATTCAATTACTATTTTATAGAATTTGTGAATTTCAAACACTTTAAGGTAGTTCTGCTTTGCATTTTCCAGATTATGCACTAAAAGCTGCTAGTTTGATATCTTACACTAAGAATATTTTCTTTTCTCAGAAGATGACTTAAATAGCCTCACATGTACAAAACTACAGGAAGCTGTACTGTAGAAACTAGCCTAAAACGTATTGTCAAAGGGTCAGTGTAAAATGCTCAGCCCTACCACTTAACAGCCAAGTGTACTTTAGCAAAAGAGAATCTTTCTGTCATAATATCTTTATTTTTTTAAAAAAAACTGGAGACAGCAATAGATATCTCTTGGTTTTTTAAGAGTACAAAATGATAACACTTTTGCAATTGCTTTGCAAACTATAAAGAAATTGGTATTATTAAAATATCTCCACAAAGTAAGTTACATAGTTTGTGATGTCTTGTTAACTGTTTCTGAATACTGAAGTACTATTTTGTGTATTGAATCAGCAGTGTACTGAATGGTACTTTATTGGTCTGTTTCCAGGGAATAACTTTCACGTGGGTATTATCCAGTTGCATAAAATGAAATGTGACATAAAATCAAGCATTACACGTTTAATTTATCATCTGGGAAATCTGAATTGTCAGGCCCTGAAAAAATAATTGAAATGCAAGCTTCTTCGGAAAGATATTGAAATTCATTTCTGAGGCAAAAGATACGTGTGGGAGAAAAATAAAAGATAAAATTGCTTTCTCATTCTTTCATTTTCAAGAAAATATAATTCCTGGAAGAATGCAGTGTGATGTGTAAGGAACAACACAACTCTGGATGGTGTGCTTGAAAATGTTATTTCAGCCGCAATTAGAAAATAAGAGAACATTCTGAAAAATGCACTGAAAAGTAAGTGTAGGTACTAAGAATGACAATACTAAAACAGCTGAGAGTATGATATGTAATGAATTACTGTTCAAAGACATTCAACCCCATGAAGTTATACTGTTTTGTAAAGTTCCAAGCAGAAGTACCTTCTCTGAATAACAAAACAGCTTATATTCATTCATAACTCCCAGCAGGAGATGTCTTTCTCCAGGACCATGGACAGCACAAGGGTACAGCGATCCTGGTAAAAAATCTGTTTCTGTATGTCTGTTTTTTCTGCCTGATTCTACTAAAATTAGTTAGGTGTGCCTACAAAAAAAAGTGTTTTGGATTGGTTCTTGGTCTTCATGACTGCTACAATTTACAGTACTGTTACATAAATAAATATTTTGTATCACATCACAATTAAATACGTTGTCATCCCAAATTTATAATTTATTTCATAAAAAAATAATTTAGCAAAGCATCATTTAGTTTTCAGCTTCTCGGTTGTTTTGAATAAAGCTAACAGCTAAATTGAACGAAACTATTATATTGTCTTTGCTTATTAACTTTTTTCAGGAGTACGTTTTGTATTTCAAACCAAGTAACTTTCACTCAGGCTACTCAGCATGTTATCCAGGAAAACAAAATGATATCAAAGAGTTTGGACCACTTATTCGAGAGAATTAAGCATTTTCCTGTAGCTGAAACCTGAACATCCATATATTTAGCTTTTGAGTTTGCATAATCGTTACTGCTACTGGTAGAGCAGTAAAGATCAAGCAAATCTTTCATTTATAATAGAAGTGGACCCTATTTAATATGCTTTCAACCTTTTTTAATCAATCACTGGATCTTTCCAAATGCTTGCAAGTTGGAAAAGGGAGAAAAATCAATTATATGGCTCTGTACTTATAGCAGTAGTTATTTTACACTAGTGTTCTTTAGTAAAACACACTCACAAGGTTTTCTCCAAAGTACTGTGTCAACAAGCTACTGCACCATTTCTCCTCCCCTTTGACCATCAACATTCTTAGTCACCTTGATTTCCATCTGCAGCAAGCACAAAATTTCTTTTTTTCAGTGATGATTCCACATCTTCTGACCTGTGAAAGCTTAACAACCAGTTCTCAATACAGAATTCCTTTCTCTGCCATCATCAATTTATTGTATCAGCACATAGAATTTTGCAAAAATTCTAATACAGTTTCTACCATAATACAATCCTGATTTCTAATCCACTCTTCTAAATTATATTTCTCCATGTCCTCTTCCAGATCTTTGCCTTTATTTTTCTTTTATTACTTTTGAATTGATAATGTAATTATATGCAATGATAATTGTCCTTAATAATGTAATTATTTGCAGTGATAATTTTCCTAGCCACATCAAGCTGGCGTAAATATTATGGGTAACACTAAAAAAGTCTTCCAAAAGTCTTCAGCTAATCTCATGAGTTCTGTCTTTCCATATCCTGGGAGACGTGAGTCTCTGTCTCTTTTTGGTTTCCTTAGGTGTCTCACTATGGATATCTGAGTTA
The DNA here is from genome assembly GCF_000001405.40 of Homo sapiens. NCBI lineage: Eukaryota > Metazoa > Chordata > Mammalia > Primates > Hominidae > Homo > Homo sapiens. The sequence continues at coordinate 87,500,185 of NC_000013.11, forward strand.
TTCTTCCAAATATAAGAACATGTTTTCGTACTCTGATACTCTAATGAAAAGGTATCACATGGATTTGGCTCTTAGTTTCTAACTATTACTGATTTAGCTAATACCAGAAATCTCATGAACTTTGTTTTCTATAATCTCATGTGACTAAATCACCTGCTTACTCTAAGAACACAATCATGTTGCCTATAGGTGAAGACCTAGGCTCTACCACTCATCATCTATGAGGTCTTAGGGAAAAAGAAAAAGAAAATAATACCTACTTCGCGTGGTTTCTATAAGGGTTAACTAAAGTAATAGTTTTCTTGATTGCTTAGGACAGTAATTAGGACACACTGAATGCTAAGTACACACTAGCTAGTGTTATGCTGCCTTTTGTTAGTTATTGCCTCTCCCAATAATATAAGATTTGTAAATCAATTTTCTCTATTGTTTGTAGCTGTTGTGGTCCAAATTGTGCCTCTCCCTCTTAAAAAAAAAAAAAAAAGTATGTTGGTTTTAATCCCTAGTACCCGTGAATGTGACCATATTTGGGAATAGACTATGCAGATTTAATCAAGTTAAAAAGAGGTCATTAGGGTAGACCTTAATCTAATGTGACTGGGTCCTTATGAGAAAAGGGAAATTTGGACACATCACAGGGGGAGTGCCATGTGAAGACCTAGAGACATTCAGACACAGAGAAAAGACGTGAAGACGGGAAGAGATTGGAGTTATGGTCCCATAGCAAAGCAATGCCTAGGCAATGAGATGCTGGAAAAGATAAGGAAATAACTTACCTAAAGGCTTCAGAGAGAACACGGCCCTAACATATGCCTTGAATTCAAGCTTCTAGCCTCCAAAAGTGTGAGACAATAAATTTCCCTAAGTTTACCCCCCACATATGATACTTTGTTATAGGAGCCTAGAAAATTAATACAGTTTCCTTGTCATGAAATGTAACTCACATTTTTCTGATTTTTTTCTTCTCCCAAAGCCTTTGGGTCCAAAATTGTCTAAAATAGAATAAATAGATGACCTTCCTATCTGATTAATAAATTGTTTGATTGCTTACAGGTTCATAGTGCCCAGATTTCTTTTGTAATTTGATAAACGTGTTTTAAAGACTATATCATGCCTAGTAGACTGTATATTTCTCCTTGCTGCCTCACTATCCCTGAAGCTGAATGGTATACCTAGATTATATTTATTTTCATAGTAAGCTCTCCCACTACCATATTTTTTCAATACATTTAGAGCTAATCAATACTCAATCTTGCACCTAATTCCAGACTCGTATCTGTGATCTCAATGTCAGTTCCAAGTTAATCAGCCTTTGCATTTCCTAGAATGTCTATTTGCCAGTATTCAAGAATAATCTAATCCAATTCACCCTAGTATGCCAGAATTTTCACTGTTGTTCTTAGGTTCCCTATCTATAATTGTATCTCAACAAATAGATTCTGTTGCAGCCCTATTAAAATCCTAACTAATAAGTCATAAGCCCAATTGGCTTGCTTCCATGTCTTTGCTCATTCTGGTTGCTTTCTTTATTACAAAAATTCAAACTCCTACCTGTTTTGATTTCTATCTGGTTAATTCTACCTACTACCATATTTAACATTATGCATTACTCTAATTTCCTCTTTTCATTAGGACCTACAATATGGAAACCTCTGCATTTACGCATGACTACCAAACCTTCCCACTCATAACTGGGTAAAACATGCTTGCCCCTATCTCAAGGGTAGATCCTTTTCATGAGCTGCAGTGGTTTTCCACTCGTGTTCTCAAGTGAGAGTGTTTACTGGTGTTCTCTCTGCAAATCAGCCACAAGTAAGTAATTTCTTGGACATCTCTTTCCCCAGATTTCAGATTACTTGGTTTCTCTGTAATTTCAGGTCTCTCATAGCTTCAAAGGAACAGTTAATTTGCAGTTTCTTCAGATATTTTATTATTATCAGGATGTCAACAGTATTCTTTCTAGCTCACTCTTTCTGTAAGCTGAAAATTTTAGAAATCTTCTGAATTGTTTTAGAAAAATCTAGCCAAGCATGATGCATATCTTTAATCCCAGCTACTTGGGAAGCAGTGGTGGGGTGATTGAGCCCAGGAGTTCAGGGCTAGCCTGGTCAGCATTGTGCGACCCCATTTCATTAAGGTTTCTTTGCATATACTATTTCATATGTAACTATCACCATTTTAGGTAGCCCTTTTTTTCTTTCCCAATACCTATGCCATAGCATAATGAATAACCCCATGCCATTTTTTTTTAAAATGACATTTTCACATGCTAAGAATATCTTGGAAGATTATCTTTAGGGTTAATCAGAATTCCTAATTCCCTCAGAGATCCTCAGAGAGTTTTTTTTTTTAATTGTGTTAACATTAATGAGTATTGTGACAAGACTAAACATTAAGGGAGAAATTAATTTTGTTATACTGCTAGATCTTGTATTATTATCGTGCATGTATAATTTCCTCTCTTCTATATTTAAATGTCTTTGAGGAAAAAACTCATATTAAAATTATTATGTGTGCATTATCTTCATATTAGGTATGAAATAGTTATTGAATTTATTTTGAGTACTTATGAATCTTCGTGAAGACCAGGAGTCAAAATAACAATCACTAATAAGAGTATTAATTCTACTTTGTTTGCCTCTCTGCATTTTTTCTGTTAGTGTAAACATCCACTAGACAGGTAGGTAAACATTTCATAAATCTCAAGTTAAATGAGATAAAAATGACATGGCAACTATGAAAAGATCCAATAGTCAATAACGTTTGTGGCATTAAAATTGTCACTACACAGACTTCTAGCACAAAATAAGCACCAAAAAAATAAAGAAATGTATCTAATCTACTCTTATTCTTCTCTCAAGAAATTATCGAATTTAGCTGGACAGAGATAGTAGAAAGAAAATTTTGGGATACCAGGCAGTTAGGGGTCAAATAACCCTGTTTGAAGCACAGGGAGATTTCAGTCATCATAAGGCATCTTATGGTCAGCTTGCTAATGAGTTACTGCAAAAAAGTTAATAAGTAAGAGACAGAAGCAAAGAACCATGTGGAGTGGTGACAGAAGCAATTTCACTTAATTTTATCAGAGTTAGCCCTTATCTCTACCCTGCGGATGCAGCTGAATGAATGTAGCAGCTATCATAAAACTTTATAAAGGCCTCCCAATGTTCTATGCAATTTTTTACACAAAATGTAATATTGAAAAAAATGGGAAAAAAATAAACTGACTTTTTGATTATGGTGATGATGTATATTCTAATGGAGGTAGGAAGGTGCCAAAGACATTTCCAGAAATACTTGTACTTAGTTAAATAATGTAGATATTTTACACCTAATGTAAAGATGATGTTGTTCTATTAAGCTACTTTTGATGGATTCCCAAGGGCACACTTGTTCTCTCAATACTGATTCCCAGTTGTTTTTAGTGCAGGCATACCTTGAAGATATTGTGCGTTCTGTTCCAAACTTCTGCAATAAAGCCAATATTGCAATAAAGTGAATCACACAAATTTTTGGTTTTCCAGTGCCTATAAAAGTTATGTTTACAAGATACTATAGTACATTGTATGCAATAGCATTATGTCAAAAAACTGTACAAATCTTAATTTAGAAAAAATCTTTATTTCTAAAAAGATAACAATCATCTGAGCCTTCAGAGAGTCGTAATCTTTTTGCTGGTGGAAGGGCTTGACTCAGTGTTGATGGCTGCTGATTGATCAGCATGGTGGTTGCTGAAGGTTGGAGAAGCTGTGGGAAATTTTTCTAATGATACAACCATGAAGTTTGCCTCATTGATTGGCTCTTTCTTTCACTAAAGATTTCCCTGTGGCATGCCATGTTGTTTGATAGCATTTTACCCACAGTACAACTTCATTCAAAATTGGAATTAATCCTCTCAAACTCTGCTGCTGTTTTATCAACTAAGATTATGTAATATTCTAAGTTATTTGTCGTTCCAACAATGTTCACGGCATTGTCACCAGGAGTTACAATTTCATCTTAATAAATCACTTTCTTTTTTCGTCCATAAAAGGCAACTTCTCATCCATTCTAATTTTATCATGAGATTGCAGCAATACAGTAGCATTTTCAGTCTCCACTTCTAATTCTAGTTCTCACTATTGCCACCACATCTGCAGTCATTTCCTCCACTGAAGGACTGAATTCCTCAAAGTCATCCAAGAGTGCTGAAGTACACTTCTTGCAAATTTCTGTTAATTTTACTTTGACCTCCTCCCATGAATCACGAATGTTCTTAATCACATCTGGAATGGTGAGTTCTTTCCACACAGCTTTCAGTTCACTTTGCCCAGATCCATCAGAAGAATCACTATCTATAGAAGCTATAGCCTTACAAAATGTATTTCTTAAATAGGGAGACTTGAAAGTCACAACTAATCCTTGATCCATGGGTGGCAGAATGTTACGTTTGCAGGCATGAAAACAACACAAATCTCCTTGTACATCTCCATCAGAGCTCTTGGGTAACCAAGTGCATGACAATGTAAGTAATATTGTCAATATTATTGTCAATGACAAGTAATATTGTGAAAATGAAAAGACATATTTTTTGAACTGTAGGTTTCAACAATAGGCCTAAAATATTCAGTAAACCATGGTATAAACAGATGTCCTGTCATTCAGGCTTTCTTGTTCCATTTATAGTGCATAGGCAGAATAGATTTAACATAATTCTCAAAGGCCTGAGGATTTTCAGAATGGTAAATGGCATTTGCTTCCACTTAAAGTCACCCGCTGCATTAGCCCCTAATAAGAGAATCAGTCTGTCCTTTAGAGCTTTGAAGCCAGGCATTGACTTCTCTTCTCTAGCTATGAAGGTCCTAGATGGCATCTTCTTCCTATAGAAGGCTGAGATGTCGACAGTGGAAATCTGTTGTATGGTGTTAACTGCCTTCATCAATGATCTTAACTAGACCTCCTAAGATAACTTGCTGCAGCTTCTACAACAGCACTTGCAGCTTCACCTTGTAATTGCATGTTATAGAGAGAGCTTCTTTACGAAACCTCCTGAACCAACCGCTGCTCTCTCCTGTCTTTTCTTTTTCAGCTTCCTCATCTCTCTCAGTCTCCAAGAAATTAAAGACAGCTAGGACTTTACCCAATTAGGACGTGGCTTTGGCTAAAGGAATGTTGTGATTTGGTTTTATCCTCTATCCAGACCACTACAACTTTCTCCATAAATAAATAAGCCTGTTTTACTTTCTCATCGTTCATGTGTTCACTGGAATGTCAATTTTAATTTACTTCAAGAAATTTTTTACCTTTGTTTCACAATTTGGCAATTGTTTGGCATAAGAGGCCTAGATTTCAGCCTATCACAGCTTTCAATATGCCTACCTCAGTAAGCTTAATCATTTCTAATTTTTGATTTAAAGTGAAAGAAGTGAAAGATGTCCAACTCTTCCTTTCACCTGAACATTTAGAGGCCATTGTAAGGTTATAATTGGCCTAATTTTAATATTGTTGTGTTTCAGGGAGTAGGGAGGCCTGAGCAGAGACAGAGAGGCAGAGAGAGAGAGAGACAGAAAGAGGAGAGGGAGAAAAGCAGCAGGGAGTGCAGCTAGTTGGTGGAGCAGTTAGAAGGCATACAACACACATTTAAGTTTGACATCTTATTTGGGCGCAGTTTGTTGATACCCCAAAACTATTACAATAGTAACATGAAAGATCACTGATCACAGATAAGCATAACAGATATAATAATAATGGAAAAGTTTGAGTTTTGTGAGACTTATCAAAATGTGACACAAAAACATGAAGTAGGCCCATGCTGTTGGATAAATGGCACAAATAGATTTGCTTGATCCAGGATTGCCACAAACCTTCAATTTAAAACATCACGTTATCTACAAAGTGTAATAAAGCTAACAGCAATAAAACAAAGTATGCCTGTAATTCTGTTCCTCTCAGGTGCTTTCTTGATGTGGGAATGAGCAAGACAGATAATTTGTATACATGGAGGTAAGGCAGGAAGGTCATCCTAGTCTTGATTTCTCAGCTATGTTTCTTGCTGACTTTTTTCTGTTAGTTGTGTGAAATCTGTATTTTAATGTCTATCAAATATTTTCCTAAGCAATTGATAACACGTATACTCTATAGCTGTATAGTTCCAAACTGTTTACATTGTTAAATATCAGTTTTCTCTCTCAGTGGCCAGGGAAAAGTGAGAAATTAAAAACAACCCTAATTTTAAGAAAAAAAAAGTTATTAGTACAGAAATACTCCTTGCCTCCACACACACAAAAAATGATACCTACAGTATGGTTGAAAAACTTTTCAGTTGAAAATTCTTAAAGACAGATCAAGGAGATTTGGGGAGAGATGAAGCAACTTAAATGCAAAGAATGTAAGTCAACATGTGAAAACATGAAAAAGTATGCCACCAAAAAGATACATAAAGGTGAATCCATCAGTTTTTAACTTGAACACTGAAAAAAAATGTACTTTTCAATTTAAATTTATTTCTTTCTTCCTAGATATGCTCATGTGTTTCTTTTTCATTCTGACTATATGTCCTATGTTGACGATAGCACTGACGTGGTCATTTGATTCTTTAGGTCACGGTAGCCCTATCTGGAGTATTTTCTAGTCCTTACCTGTTCACAGCCTGCTTTAAATTAGTCAAAAGGCAGCACCTTAAGGTAGGTAGCCTCTGGGACCACAGGTCTTTCTTCATTCGTTCTCCCTTCCCTCTTAAACCTTGTGGCCTATTGTGTTACTTTGTCTATTTCCCCTAGCTAGAGATCTGCTGTGATTAGCCAAATCTCCTGAAATCTGAATATCATGAGCCTGCCTGAGTCTCACCATTCTTCTCCTGAGCAAAAACACCCATGCATTTGGACGGCCCATATTCCCTGAAAAAGGAAGCTTCTAAATTGTTTCATCAGTTTCTGATTTTGCCAGATCTGGCATCCTTCCTCTCCTAGAAAGTTAATTTTGCTGAAACTCTTGCAAATACTTCTTATAATTCCAAATTTTGAAAATATGTAGTAACCCTTGTTGGCATAGTGATTGTCCAGTGCGATTTGTTGCACCCTGAATGTAATTATGGATTTTAGGTTGAAAAACACATTTTACTGGATAAAACCCATGATCTCCATATTAAATCTTACAAATTAAATCAGAATGCAACACAACTTATGGATCTAAATTTTATTATTATCCCTTAATACTCATGCCTAGGCACTTGCAATGTACTTTCCCCTTGTCAAGACCTTTCAGTTTAACCCTCTCAAATCTACCTATATTTAGTTATCACTACATCTCCTCTATACAATACTAACTTGAATCTTTTAAAAGATAGTTCTTTTTTCTGTAGTGGTCTTTCCAATCTCTCGACATACCTCAAAGCATCTTTCTAAAAATATTTTAGCCCATATTGTTTACTTCCTTTCCTGATCTCCTCTGTTAAATAATATTGACATGAAATGATTTCACTCTTAAAATTATCTGACAGTGCTATAGCACAGAGATTGTCATTATTTGGTTTTTATTTAACAGTTGAGGAAAAGTAGAAGTCAGGAATAATAAATGCCATTTTTTTCAGCAGATATTCATTAATCCTCATTTATTCAAATTAAGTTCACAGTATTTCAAATGTAAAATATTCCTGTGACAAGTTTATTGTGTCTTTTACTTACTCTGATTTTTTTTTCAGCTTTCATTGATGCAATCTCAACAGGAGACCTGCCTAGTACTGGAAACCAGTATCAGAACTTGAATTTGCTTTCCACGCCTGTGGAAATCTGTATTATTTTCATAAACATTCTCTGATTAGTTGAGGAGTAAATTTAGTATAATCTAGCACACAAAATTAAGAATCATTAAGTGATTTGGCTTATTACCCCAAAACTTGGGCAGAAATCATTTTATTATACTTATTTATTAAATACATGTTTAGTGCTTTTCATATCCCAGGCAATGAACGGGGTGCAGCAAATGTAAATATAAATAAGACATAATTCCTGCTTCTAAGGATTGTACAGTCTAGTGAGAGAGAGGGCATAAATAAAAATATTTATAGTGTTGTGAGGTAATTGCCAGTTGGTGCTTCTACAGTGCTGTGGGAGACACTGCATGAGAAAATGCCCTGTTCCTGATATGCTCACACCTCCCCACATGGAAAGCCCAAAATACAATCCTTTCCTGTGTAAATCCAAACCTCTGCGTTCTTAAAATTTGTGTGAACCCAAAAGGTTGAACTTGTCTTTCTTACTCTTCCATGTTCTTTTTCCAGGTTCCCTGAAACATCTTAGATACACAGTAAGTATTTTGTAAATATGGGCTTATAATACTTTATCTACAATAACAAAATATATGGAGTTTTCAAAATCTAGTATTTTTTAAATTATTTGACTCATTTGCAAATTGAACCTGAATTGAAATAACATGCTCTGTAATTGCTATTTATTCCTCTTCATGTGACTATCATGTCTTTTGGGTACAAAAATATTAATATATTTGATTATGAGGTGCTGCCTCAGAATTTATTCAAAGTGTTATGTAATATTTGGTATGAGATGGGCACAGTGGTGCATGCCAGTAGTCCCAGCACTTTGAGAGGCCTAGGAGGGAGGATTGCTTGAGCCTAGAAGTTAAAGACCAGCCTGGAAAACATGGTGAAACCCTGTCTCTACAAAAATCACACACACACAAAAATTAGCCTAGCATGGTGGCACACCATGTAGTCTCAGCTATTTGGGAAGTTGAGGTGGGAGGATCACTTGAGCCTTGGAGATTGAGGCTGCAGTGAGCTGTGATCGTGCTGCAGCCTGGGTGACAATGAGACCTTGCCTCAAAAAATAATAATTAAAAAAATTAGTATGTGCACTATATTAACTTTTTTGAAAAATATATATGTGAGACACATATAAAACATTTCAAATGTTTTATATATACATACATATATAGTGAGATCTATATATATCATTTCAAAGTGTTTGTGGCTTAAGGGGTCTCAGGAGATAAGAATCTGCATTCTTGTCTGTGATCCAGCATGAAGTGTAACCTGCCCAAGCAGACCTTTCTTTGAATATTCTTCAGCCGTGGCAACTCTTGCCACATCACTTTCTCGCTGGTTCACAGTTGTCAGTTTCAAATCGAGGATCAATTGCAAGGCAAGCCCAAACAGCATAGAACATTCTGAGCAAAAGGGCTGTTAAAGAAGGCAAAGCCCCAGGTATCTTAAAAATTGACTTGTAAGCCAAGAGTAGCCCCCTTTAGATGTACACAGACTGAAGTCGATAATATACGGACTCCTCAGTTTACTTGAGAAATATGGATACACATGGGAAAAGTATTTCCTTTACATTCAGTGGGCTTCAGCATGATGCTAAGGTGTGAATAAAAAGTTGGTTTTACAGACAGTCACTGCGTTTCCTCATCATCTTTTTTGTAATTATCACATTTTCTTCATCTCTGTCTATATATATTATAGATTAAGAAAATGAATTAACTTTCCATTTGGCAGTACATATATTTTATTCTAATATTTTATTTGAAGTGTTTATTTCAGATGTTAGAAAATTGGTCAAATCAAACTACTGTTCTTTCCGTATATATTAATACCTTAGAATTTTTCATAAATTATAAGTGAGATTCATAATATTAATCTGAAAATGTATCAATTCAGGAAAAATTTTTTTTTTGCTTTTGTCATCAGTGAAAAATTATAAGAAACTATTTTTAATGAACCTTGTATACACATAAATTATCTAGATCAGATTCTGTTTTTTCCCCTTTGTAATGAAATTTAAAGATTTCACTTTCTTTTAGCAAGTTACAACTACAATTTTTCTTTAGAAAGGAGAAAAACAGAACTCCTTGGATCCTTTAAGAAAAAATCTTGAGAATGCAGTTTCTTTTACCTCTTAATGTCTTAAGTTTCAATCATCTATTTCATTTTTACAGGACAAGAACAGCAGTTTTCGTTAAATTGCTAAGTTCTACCTAGTTCAATACATTTTCTACCTTAGGCCTTTCTTGAGATTTCTATGACTACTAAGTTGTAAAAAGAATAAAAAGAGACTTTTACTTCTCAGCTGGATGAAAACAAGTCATGGCACTCTGGCTTACTGTTGAACTCTAGCAAAGGGGTACAAACAGCAATTGTCTCTTGTGATATAATCTGACACTTTCCAAAGATTTTCAGGGTCAACTTAAATAGCAGCTCATTCCCTCGCCACAATCCATCAGAACTAAGCTTGAAATGTAACTTAAGTTCCTTCTAAATAATAAAAAACAAATTCATGAAAACTCAGAAAAACCTGCCTCAGTTTTTGTTTGTTTCTTTGTTTTGTGGACATTGTTTTGTTGTTGTTGTTGTTGTTCATTTGTTTCAGGTTTTTTAATAGAAGATATTATGGCAAAATATAAATTGGAAGGTAGAATTTAAAGTTCTTTATATATTTTATATGCTTTTAAGCTATCAATACTAAAGTCGTATTATTGACAAGAAACTTGTCACAATTTTAATGCTACTGCAAATAAAGCTAATGCTGCTTAGGATGTAAGAGAAGAAATAAAATGGGGAGGCTAAGTTAATAAAAGTGCTAGTGTAACATGCCCATCCAGGGTAGTCTGTTCTATATACCATGTGTTAAAGCACACTGTCACTTACCTTCAGAACATGCATCATACTATGTTACTATATATGAACTTATGGATTTTTTCTAAATATCTGCCTCCCAAACATGCTATAACTTTCCTAAGAGCAGAAACTGCATTTGAATACTCAAAACTGGATCAGTATAGTTCTTGATAGTACAGAATACACAGACAATAAATATTTTTTAAATGAATGAAAAGGTCCTGGGCAATTTTATCAGACTGTTATAAGATCTGTAATTTTTGTCATATCAGAGAACATCAGATATACTAAGTAATTTATTTTGGAAAAGGGAAGGAAAGGAGAAGGAAAAGGTAAGAAAGAAGCCATAGTCATTGGCAAATGTTTGAAGTTATTTTATATAAAAGATGAAATGGCCTTTTTTTTTCCAGTAAGCAGAACCATGATAATAGACTAGACATTACAGAAATATAGACTTCAGGTAAACAAGAGGAAAGATTTTTCTAAAAAGTAGAATTGTTTATAACATAACATGTTAATGAGAGATGTACCAAGCTGCTTAATAGAAATGTGAAGCAGAGAAAACTACTTACCCAAGCACACATAAGAAATGTTCCAGGATAGGTTGGGACTTTGTAGGAAATCATTTCTGAGATCATCCATGGCATTAATATTTTATATTCAGTTGATATTGTTATCTAATGCAAAAGAAGCAATTGGAATTATTATAATTTCCTAAAATAAGAAACTTTTAAAATCAACTGACATATTCAATAAACTTAATATTTTGTAGACTTCATACAAAACCGTAAATTTTTTTTTTTTCTTTTTTTTTTTTGAGATGGAGTTTTGCTCTTGTTGCTGAGGCTGGAGTGCAATGGCGCCATCTCGGCTCACTGCAACCTCCGCCTCTCAGGTTCAAGCGATTCTCCTGTCTCAGCATCAGGAGTAGCTGGGATTACAGGTGCATGCCACCAAGCCTGGCTAATTTTTATATTTTTAGTAGAGACAGAGTTTCCCCATATTGGTCAAGTGGCCTCGTCTCCTGACCTAAGGTGATCTGCCCGCCTTGGCCTATTTTACAATTTATATTAAATAACTAGAGTTGAAAAAGTAGTGTAGCACTGGAATTCAATTAGTAAATTCAAATGTATTCTGTGTTTAGTTAAAATCAGGAATCTTGCCTTGATAGTGTTCAAATTCAATTGTGAATGGCAAATCTTTGAATCTCACATCAGTTCTCTCTCTTGGATTTTTGAGAAGAGTCCTGAAGTCAGTCATTTTCTCCCACAGTGGTACCCTGCCTAATGCATTTGCTAATTGATTCTTTTCATTTACTTATTACTTTAAGCAGGTGACATTCACATACTATATTATGGCCTCTTATATGTGAAGGAAAAATAATTTCCTAACAATAATGCCTGTGTATACAACTGTACGAAGATGCTGCAGCAGCCTCATGTCATCATTCTGATCTGTCTTTCTGGAACTTGCATTTCCAAGACAGATTTTTGCCCTGCTTCTGCCACACAGACTTACAGTTTGCCAAAGCCTTGCTTCAAATTGACAACCTCATTTCGGAGGGATGATGATAGATTACACCTTTCATATTTCCAAGTCAACTTAATTTTCTTGGTCAAAATGCATACCAAAATTTTGGTGCTGGTGGCAGTGACTGTGAAGGCGGGGAAGGTTATATTACTGTTGACCAAACAGGTTGGTGCTCAAGATTTCAGCAAACCAGCAGGTAACACATATATCCTCACCCTGTTGAACTGGAGCATTGTCATGAGACTAAATTTCACAAGATTTAAACAGAATTGGACTTTGTCAGTTCCAAGCAGACAGTTTAATGAGCCAGTACATCGTTTCTACGTCCCTCTGCCGCAAACCTGTAATGTTCTATCCAGACACTACTCTGCCCACCTTGGACCTAAAGTAAAGGCACCATAGAACTACTACACAGGCAGTGGTCTCAACACCTGAGAATGGTGTTGAGTAAAAATATTCCTTTGTTGTGAGCCTCTGCAGTTCAGGGCTTACTTGTCACCACAGCACTTCCTAACCTATCCTGATTGATTCAGAAGTGTAAGGTTTGAGTTTTCTCAACTCAGAGATTTGAATGAAAGGAATTATAAACCAATCATGTCTGGCATTGAAAACAATGTGTAGAGGCAAAGTGGGCAGGTCTCCACGTGAACATGCAGAAAGAAGAGCACCAGGGTGAATCAAAAAGAACTCAGCTTCCAACAAGTCAAAAGAAACTTAATGTAAAATAGTTAATCACCTTGAATGGAAAACAGGAATTTTGCTAATTTATGTGGCTGATAAAATAAACCATAGAATAAATTTTGAGTAGAAGAGGAGAACATGTTGCTGTAGATAAAGATATTAGGATGAGGTTTTTGGCTTCAGAAACGGAGAGGAAGTGACAGCTTTTAAGGACAGGAACAGGAAGAAATAACAGAATTTTGAAATGTGTTGAACAGCCTGGATGTGGGAGAAAAAAAAAAGTAGGTTTGTTAGTGATGCCAAGGTAAAGTGATTGAAAAATGAGCATGCCACCAAATGGAGAGAGAGGAAAAAAAGAACACAGAAAGACAGATGAACACAAAAAGGGGAGAGGATGGCAGGTAACTTTTGCTTATACCCAAGCACTTGGCACAATGAGTCTAGTACAGTAATTTACATGGGGTCCACAATGTTCCTTCTCTCCTTTAGAAAAGAAGGAATGGTCACTATTTTGTATTACTTTGAAATAATTTATTTATTTTGTTATAAAGTCAAATTAGCATACCACTTGAATGAGTTCCATGTACATATAGAGAAATTAGTTTATGAATATGTGGAAATATTAAAGATAGAGTGAGGTAATGTCAAGAAAATCTCAATCTTTGTTATTTCTGACGAACCATTTCTAAAACATAAAAATGAAATAAATTAATGTTTTTAGACTATAAATATGAACTCATCTATATAGTTTCTCATGAGAATATGATAGTCTGTTTTTATTTAAAGATAAACATTGATGCTGCTTCAACCAAGAGAATGATAACCAGAGGAAGAAAATGCATGTTAAGGGTGAAAAAAGTAACACTAGAATATCTTTCTATGACAATGATATGCCAGTGATGAAAGTTAGAGCTATCACTGTCAGGGATTCCAAATCTTCTAAAAGGAAGCACACGTTTCAGAAACTTTTTCTGTTCTACTCATATTTGAGGCTAGGACTGCAATGATCATGAAACAAGAGCTGGAGACAGAGATGATTTCACAATTTCTAGCTGCATCATTTTCCTCTTTATTGTTCAGAAAACTGAGGAGGATAATAGAGTATGTGCAGATCATGAGGGTGCCTGGTGGCATGAGAAAGCAGCAATTTGGTCATCAATACTGGGATTTGAGATGCTAAGGTAAACTGGTAGGAGGATATATCCTATTTGGAGACATCTCCTTTAATCATTTATTAACCCATCAACAACTTTTTCATCAAGCAAGTACCACCTGCCAGGCATAACTCAAAATATGGGGGACATACAAGTACATAAGCCAAACAAAATTCCTTTATCTAGCAGGGTTTACAATCAAAATCAGAAGATAAACAATGAAAAAAATGCAAAATATAGCACATGCTGGATGTTATTGAATAATTTAGAAAAAAAATGGAAAAGATAAAATGAAAGTGTGTGGTATCTGGAGCAAAATTTAAAATATTTTGATCAGAGGAGGCTTTATCTGAACCATCTGAGAGATAATCTGCGAGGAACAAACACTTCGGGCAAATAGTAGTGACTGATATAATCAAGAATGGATTCCATGATGAGGCTTTCTAAATGGACTCAGGGAATTAAAGCAGTGGTTTTTCCCAGAGCACCAGACCCCAGGCTCCTTTGTACTCTTGTTGGTAGAAGGCCAGAAGGTAGAAAACACTCATTTCTGGAACATCCAGCTCACTCAAATCAAATAAAAATGTGGGACTTCCTTCTCACTTTGTCAGTTTAACTTCCTAATAAATGCGAATGTGAAGGTGTTAGCATTTTTTTAATGAAAATAAGTGTTTGATCTATGTTCTCACCAATTCCTTAACACAAGCCACTGTGGGAATCATATACCTGGTATACATGTCTGAACGAATAAAGTAGCGCTCATAAAGCTGTAGGTGCTTGGATGCATCTTAGATTACACACTAAAACTCTCAGCTTTGTTTGGGTGTCACCTAAGCATACATTCAAATACAAATACAAGAAGACAGTGACACATATCTGAATTTGGGTCTGAAGGTAGAAGTCACAGAATTTTCCTGTGAAACAATGAATGTGTAAATTAAGCTGCAAAAGCATTTGGGCAAGGGATTTTGTTGTTTTCTATCTGTTTTAATTCTCAATACTCCACTGTTTAGGTATACTTCAGGACTTTAAAAATATACATATCCCCTAATTCACATGCACTGTTCTTGAATCTTTTCAAACTCCTTCCTTTAAAAAATAATAAAAATGTTGAGTATTCTACATTTACATTTTAATATTAAGGATTTTTTAAATAAAAAAACATTTACAAATATTTAAAGCATTAGATTTATATCTATATTATTTTCTTGAATAATTGTTGGTTAATTTTTATAATTGGAATTTGTGGTAGGAAGTTTCTCTCAATATTTTTACTCTCTTATTTAATGTTTTGTGTTATTGCTGCAAAGCTAATTCCAAGTCAAAATCTATCATATTAAACAGTAGAATATAATTTTGACAATGTGCAATGTTTATATTTGAACTGATTATAGTTTTTGAAGGGAAATAAAATATAAAATCAAAAGTAAAATATACATAAAGAATAAAATATAAATAAAAAGAAAAAAAGGGGATACGTGGGCCATAGAATATTCTGTAGCAGGAATTCTTATTCTGCATTCTGTGAAATGCCATGTTTTGTAAGCAGAATTAAAGGGATCCCTGAACTTTTATGAGACAAACAGTATATCTTTATTTTCACTAACATTAATGGAAATTATTCTTCTCCTTATATATGAATATAGGCAGCAAACCACAAAATAAGCACTACATGACTTTCTCAAAATAGTATTCACACATTTTCATATCATATTGCAGTGATTGCAGTTGCCTTTTGTCATAATTTTCACTTGCTATTACCTTGAAAAAAATAATTAACAGCCCTCTCACTAGATCTTTTTATTTAATCTATTAATAAATAAGTATATGGATTGCTTAATCACAAATGTGTTTTTCTAATATTTTGATTACTATATTTCAATGTAATCTACTGTATTCTAGTCCAATGTGTTTTATACGTTTAATTTTTATTCTTAGTGGGGAACATGAGCTTCAAGAAATTGTTAAAAAGTCCAAGACACCAAAAAAATTACATATGGGCTTTGTCATATACATTTTTGAACTAAATAGGAAATCCTCAAAATGTCTGTCATATTAGAAAGTTCTCTTTTCTCTGAGAGTTGTGGTGGTACAATGAAAAAGCAGTCTATATCTTAACTTCTGTGAATTGCATCAAGGAAAATAAAAAATGCCTTTCATATTTCTGCAGTAAAGAGTCTTGTGCTAAAGCTTTATCATTACACTCACTAGAGGAATTCTAACTTCATACAATGCAGCATTTCCTAATGCAGTGCCTATAATATCTGTATGTGTGTTTGTGTGTGTGTGTATGTAGGTGCATGTATATGTGTGTATTTTTCATTACCCAATGAGATACTTGATTTCTTCCCTATTCTGATGCAACATTTTCTTTTTAAAATACATGAAATAACTTATTTAGAGACAATGCATCTTATTGAAGAGAAGCTAATGGCCTAAACATTTTTTACCTCATTTCCTCAGATTTTACAAAGTATGTTGCATAGTGAAAGGGAAACAAGATTTGATTTCATTCCCAATTTTGTTACTTACGAGTATTTTTATTTAAGTTTCCGATTTCCTCATAAAAATAATAAGCTTGTTTTTCACTTGCTTCAAGAGGCTGTTGTAAAGTTCAAATGAAATACAAATAAATGTATAGTAGAAGATATCTTTTCATTACTAACTAGCTTAATAAACAGATGTTCTCCATTCCCTTCTGTAGACTGTACCCTTCTGGTGGCTTTGGCTTTCTGAATGCCAGGGAACAACAGGCTCCTTGTCAGCCTAAGTTCCCCACAAGTTTCACTGGTGATCACCACAGAAGAATTTTTGTCAAATCTGTTGTCTCACTCATACTTGTTATTCAAATTACTCAACTCAGTTAACGAGTACACAAACCAATGGAATATAAATGTGAAAAGCAAAAGATTTGTGGTTTGGAAATTTGGAGCTTTTGGAAATTTGGAACTCTCTAATACAATTTTTAAACTATGTTATCAAACTGATTTTGTGTAAGAAAATATGAAAGTAGAAAAATAACTTGTAAACATCAACCTAGAAATTAATGAACTCAGATCATTTCCCATTTATCCTCATGTTCTAATATAAGTTTAAAGAATTTGAACCTGGATTTTGTATGGACTGCATTAGCGGTGTATTTTATTCAAGAAAGACAAGGGACTTCAATTCCCAGACTGCTAAGTTGGCTCATATATGGCTTTACTTACTCATCAGTACAACATTATTATTATTTTATGCTATGTGTTGGGCTCCCTTTTAGGTGCCAGGTATAATGAGATTAATAATACAAAATAACATTGTTATGAAACGTATATAACATTGTCGTTGACTAAGCAAGTAAAATATTATAGATTGTAACATACTTTCAAGTGATATAAAGAAAAATAAAGCTAGCTAAGGGATAAAAATGAGGTGAAAACCTTTTAAATAGATTTGACTGGAATGGCTTCTTTGCTGTGCTCATAAATGAGCTCAGACCTAAATTATGTGTCCTGAATTATTGAACGGGGAGAGACGATTTCTGGCAGAGGATATACCAAGTGAAACATCCATGTTCAAATATATTTGAGGAGAAGCAAAAAGTCTATTCCTGATGGAGTAATATGTGTTTGGAGGCGCTGAAAAAACATTGTGCTGATCATATGAGACCAGGTAAGGGCTTTGATTCTATGCTAAGTTGATGAAAAGTCCTTGGAATGTCTTAAATATAGGAATGTCATGATCTGATGACTTTATTACTTAAAAAAATGACGATAGTAAAATGCAAGTAATTTATTTTAAAATTAATGTATAAAAGTGTTTTAATTTAAAATATTATATTTAAGGAGATATTTATGTGTCTTTGCTATAATTGGTATTTATTTGTTCTTGAACAAATTAAGTAGATTTTTACTAAAAGTACTCACATATTTTATGAAAGTAAACCAGTATATTAATAGTAATAAAAACTGGTAAATCTTGAAGTTTTGCTATGTACAATGAATCTTACTTTGAATTTTAGAAACAGGTTTTAATCAAATCTTCATAAAAGTCCTATGAAAAAGCAATAGACTGTTTTGATTACATGTTTGACCTCTAGAATCAGATTGTTTAAAAATGTTTTACTGCTTTGTTATTTACTACTTGAACAACTCTATGCCTATTTATATATCATAGTCTACAGACTATCCTCTATAAATTGTGGAAAATATTAGTGCATACTCCTTGTGCTTTTTATAAGTGTTATATAGCATAATGTAGTACACAATCTGACACACAAACAATATTAGCCATCATAATTGTTCCCTTCCCTTCAAAAATGAAAAAAAAAATGTTTTAATTTTGAAATTTAGAAAGGTAAACTCCTCATGCAGAAGCATATAACAAATATAGTTGCCACATTAAGACATAAACTTGAGTCTATAGATTCTGAAGACCAAGCATCCTAATTAGTTAATTCTGCAGTAATTCTTTGGCTTTGAGTAATGCTTTCTACCTCATAAATTCTCACAGCATCTGGAACTTCAAAATTCATGGGTATCAGCAAAGAATGAATAACACAAATCTTTCTGCTTCCTGATGATTAGAATGACTTTGTAGCAGAAATGAACAGCCTCAATGTTTTTATGTTCAGTAAATTCATATATCATTCTTGTACAAATAAATGCACATTGCAAGTAACCAAATTCCTATCATAACCCATGACCTCATTATCAAAGCTCAATTTCTGAATATTGAGATAAGTGTATTAACTTAATGTAAGATTATGTGTTTCTAAAATAGGTTTGAAAAAATTATAAATTTTCTGAATATTGAGTTGAGATATCAAGAAATATCCCCAACAAAATTGTGAACATAAAACAAGAGTAGTTGTTCTAATCCTAAAGAGCAATATTTGTTTTTCAAACTACTATACAGAGTTTCTGTAATTTAAATAGACATTTTATAAGACAAATATGTTCAACCTTTTCAATTATATTGCCTCTGAATCCTATTATTTATATATACATGTTTTATGTATATATGTAATTTATACCTATTGTATAATATTTTGTTTTTTCTCAAAAAAATTCCAGATTTAAAGTTGTGTGAATTATTTATTTCCAAATAAAATCAGTAGCACATGGTGAAAATTTCTGAATTTCAATTATTTCTAATTTAGGTTAACTTTGTAATTGATATTTTTTAATATACTTATTTATTTTGGGAATGATTTTTTTTCAAGACAGTCTGTGATATAGATTTTGTTTGCCTTATCGTGTACAATTTTTGTTTTCAACTCAAATAATTAAAGATGGCTTTTTTTTAAAGCCTTGGAATCTCACTTTTCTGTTTATTCTAAGGTGTTAAAAACAAAAGAAAAAATATTGGGAAATGTATCTGCTCTGTATAACCATATGGAGTAATATATATAACTGGAATGTAATATTATTGAACATTATGCAAATCCTAAAGTAACATGCAAAGTTTATGATTATTTTTATATGTGCTAAGTGTAAGTCATACTGAAATATTCCTCTGAAAATAAATATTTTCCAGAAGGTATGCCTTAAATTCCTATTTTATTCAACAAAAATGCTACACACAAACAAGATCTTTCCAGTACTAAAAGATACAACATGAAGCTTCAGTAGTGAAAAAGCAGAGTTGAAAAATAAATAGATTCTGGGGTTTTCTTGTCATTATATTCAAATATATATACTAGTCATTTGAGACCTAAGCAAAATTCATATGAGATTTCTTTATATAAATAAAAATTTGAGAGACATGACTGTGATATTTTATATATCACACAAATTACACACAAGGATCTGTATTATTGTTATTCACATTAAAAGCTCAGTGGCAATTCTCTGGAATTTTAATTTCTACAAAAAATATTCTTAAGATTGTTTAGGAGTCTCTGCTTTCAATATAGAATTATAAAATAAGATACCTCAAGTAGTAATCCAAGGTATTGTTCCATACCAATTGCAAAGGCAGCTATATAATTAGCTAAACACACACACACAGGTATATATGCACATGTAAGTCTATGTAATACAAGTATATCACTAAATTAATTTAAGAATGCTTAATTTGTATTCAGTTTATATTACACAAATGTTTTATTTCACGGTTGCTATTTTACATCTCCTTACTGATATGGTTTATGTCCCCACCCGAATTGCACTTTGAATTGTAATAATCCCCATAAGTCAAGGGTGGGGCCAGGTAAAGATAATTGAATCATAGAGGTGGTTTCCCTATACTGTTCTCATGGTAGTGAATAAGTCTCATGAGATCTGATGGTGTTATAAATGGGAGTTCCCCTGCACAAGCTCTCTTGCCTGCCACCAGGTAAGACATGTCTTTCTCTTTCTTTTTCTTCCACCATGATTGTGAGGCCTCCCCAGCTATGTGGAAACATGAGTCCATTAAACCTCTTTCCTTTACAAATTAACCATTCTCAGGTAAATCTTTATTAGTGGCATGAGAATAGACTAATGTATAAGGGTAGAATCGGGTGCTGCTGTAAAGATACCCAAAAATGTGGAAGTGACTTTGGAAATGGGTATCAGGCAGAGGTTGGAATGGTTTGAAACTCTGAGAAGACAGAAAGATGTGGGATGTTTCAGAACTTCCTAGAGGCTTGTTGAATGGCTTTGACCAAAATGCTGATAGTGATATGGACAATAAAGTCCAGGCTGAGGTGTTCTCAGATGGAGATGAGGAACATGTTGGGAACTGGAGCAAAAGTGACTTTTGCTGTGTTTCAGCAAAAAGACCAGCAGCATTTTGTCCCTGCCCTAGATATGTGTGGAACTTTGAACTTCAGAGAGATAATTTAGGGCATCTGGCAGAAGACATTTCTAAGCAGCAGAGCATTCAAGAGTTGACTTTGGTACTTTTAAAAGTGTTCAGTTTTACGTATTCACAAAGATATGGTTGGAATTGAAACTTATGTTTAAAAGGGAAGCAGAGCATAAAAATTCAGAAAATTTGTAGCCTGATGATGTGATAGAAAAGAAAAAGCCGTGTTCTGAGGAGAAATTCAAGCCCACTGCAGAAATTTCTATAAGTAACAAGGAGGCAAATGTTAATTTCTAAGACAATGGTGAAAATGCCTCCAGGGCATGTCAGAGGTCTTCATGGCAGCCCCTCCCATCACAAGCCTGGAGGTCTAGGAGGAAAAAATGTTTTTGTGGGCTGGGCTTGAGGCCCCCATGCTCTGTGCAACCTAGGGACTTGGCACCCTGTGTCCCAGCCACTCCAGCCATGGCTAAAAGGGGCCAAGGTAGGCATAGCTTCAGAGGGTGCAGCCTCTTCCAAATGGTGTGTTGAGCCTGCGGGTACACAGAAGTCAAGAAGAGGTTTGGGAAATTCCACCTAGATTTTAGAGGATGTATGGAAATGCCTGAATGTCCAGACAGGACAGGGGTGGGGCTCTCATAGAGAACTTCTGCTAGGGCAATGCAGAAGGGAAATGTAGGGGTGGTGCTTTGACACAGAATCCCCACTGGGGCACTGCCTAGTGGAGTTGTGAGAAGAGGGCCACCATTCACCAGACCCCAGAATGGTACATCCACTGATAACTTGCACTGTGTGCCTGAAAAAACAGTACACGCTCAGTGGTAGCCTGTTAAAACAGTCAGGAGGGGGCCAGTACCCTGGAAAGCCACAGAGACGGAGATGCCCAAGACCATGAAAACCCACCTCTTGCATCAGCACGACCTGGGTGTGAGACATGGAGTCAAAGGAGGTCATTTTGGAGATTTAAGATTTGACTTCCCTGCTCAATTTTGGTCTTGCTTGGTGCCTGCAGCCCTTTTGTTTTGGCCAATTTCTCCCATTTGCAACAGGTGTATTTACCCAATGCCTCTACTCACATTGTATCTGGGAAATAACTAACTTGCTTTAAATTTTACAGGCTCATAGGCAGATGGGACTTGCCTTGTCTCAGATGAGACCTTGGACTGTGGACTTCTGAGTTAATGCTGAAATGAATTAAGACTTTGGGGGACTATTGGTAAGGCATGGTTTGTTTTGAAATGTGAGGACATGAGATTTGGGAGGGGCCAGGGGCAGAAAGATATGGGTTGGCTGTGTCCTCACCCAAATCTCAGTTTGACTTGTAATAATCCCCATGTGTCAAGGTTGGGGCCAAGTGTTGAAAACTGATTCATGCAGGTGGTTTTTCCCATACTGTTCTCGTGGTAGTAAGTCTCAGGAGATCTAATGGTTTTATACATGAGAGTTCCCCTGCACATGCTGTCTTTCCCAGTGCCATGAAATATGTGGCTTTCTCCTCCTTTGCCTCCCACCATAATTGTGAGACCTCCCCAGCCATGTGGAACTATGAGTCAATTAAACATCTTTCCTTTATAAATTATGCAGTCTCAGCTATGTCTTTACTAACAATGTGAAAACAGATTATTGCATTTACCTAATATTTAAGTTTGAAGTTTATAAGAAATGAATAGAAGACAAGTAGAGGATAATCTGAAATTCATAAAGACCAGAAATAAACTCATTGTCACTCTCTCTTTCCCTGCTCCCTTTGCTAAATTCAGTCCCATTACAGATTACAATATGTAGGTTTTCAAATAATCTGGAAATGTTAATAGGTTAGAAATTACTGCATTCATCACTATGGCCCCTATGCTTTGTGCTGTGTGTAAGCAAACAATGGTGCTAGTGTATACAAGAAGAACACAAAAGAGTAACTAGAACCATATTAGTTTAGTAATATTCCATTCTTAAGCATTTGAATTTTTCTTGGCATCATTATAAATAATAATCTAACAAGATTGAAGAAGCACAGTCCTTTCTCTTTGGGAACTCAAACCTTATACTGAGAATTTAACCAATTTATGTTAAATTTTAAGGTAGTACCTGAGACTTTGAATGAATAAGAAATGAAATCTTACCATGTTGAAGCCATTGATATTGAAGTGTGTTCATTATGCCAACTATCATTGCTTGTAAATATTTCTACATAGCCATAAAGCCACAAACTAAGGGAGAGAAAAGGCGTCTAGTCACTGGGGACCCCTCTGGTCTTCCCACTAGCTCTGAGCTGCAGATCCAATACTTCTGGGCATGTGAAACAAATAATCCCCTGAGTTATTGACTTGCTTAAGCCATTTTTGTTAGGATTTTCTGTTACTTGCAGCAAAATGCAATCCTAATTGATATGCTCTCATGAATGGATAGATAGAAGATAGATGTATGGATAGATACATAGATAATAGATAACCATCCAGGTTGAAATATAAACAAATTAAAAATTATTTTATTAACAATTAGTGGATCAGTAAGGGAGAATTATATGTCTTAATTATTACTTATCTACTATATCTTGTAGAAAAGTAAGTGGTGCATAAAGATAATAATACATTTTTTTATACATCTTGTTACATTGTAAAAAGTTGTTTGGTTAAAGTTCACTTTTGCCTGGTTTTTCCCATTTAGAAACTCATTCTGTAGGCAATTTTATAAGAAAGCATCCCTTGACTATAATTGAAAATATTAGAGTTGTTTAAAAGTTAGCATAATAATTCATTTATTTTGGGTTTGGGGGAAGTTATAACTTGATGCATGCTAATACAAAAAACTTCCTGTGATTTCCAAACTATATTGTGAAGATTGATAAATATATCCTTCCACACAAATTTAAATTAATTTTTAAAATAATTGATAAATTATTCTAAACATTTGTTTGAGCTAAACTTATGATTAATTCCTATAGTAAGTAAACAACCCATTAAGAACTTATGACTGGATAACTAAGTTTTCTGTATTCCAATTGGGACCATTATGACAAAGAAGAATTTAATAACCTAAAATTTAAAACCTATAGTAGAAATAATAGCAAAAAATAAAAATGCATATAATAAAGTCAAGAGCCTTATCTTATTTTTGTAATATTTCTAATCATAAGCTATTTATATTCCTATATGCTTTAGTAACATGACTCCTTAATAATATGGACAAATTTTAGCAAAATTATATTAAGCTTCTGCTGTGGACATTAATAGATATTCAAGGAGTCCTTGATAAGATATTTAAAAAGGCATTGATAATGCATGCAAACTTCAACTGTTTTTGAAAAATAGTCAACATTTCTATTGAATGAGATAATAAAGGAGACTTTTACAAAGTATAATAGTTTCTTCAATTTGATGAAGAATTAAAAATTAATCTTCTTATAATATTTAATTTACTGTGCAACATCACATATATTGCATATGACTGCCAATATATATTTCATATTCTGCATACATTTCATGTAATTGTATATACTGAAACTTACAAATCATAAAAATGATATTACAAAGTTGTACCGCTACTAAAGAAGTACATTTATAATGTTATTTTATAATTAGGATACCATTAAATATATCAGATATATTCAATACTCCCTTGTGAAAATCATATCAACAGCTTCCTAAAATACATATTCAAATATATATGTTTTATAAACTAACCGTTGTATCTCAATACCAGGCAATACATCAGTCAATAGCTAAATAGTCATCAAATCACTTAACCAAGTATAAGATAAAGTACATCACAAAGTATACTTGCTTTAGAATGAGCGGGGGAGTAACACTATTATCACTGTCATTTAACTGAATCACTACAGATGAAGAGAAAGTGAGTATTTTAACAATCATGCCTATTTATTATTTCCACTTTATTATTCAGAGAAAAATGGATAATATCTCTGCCAATTCTAAAAGTGAAGTATGTTAAATAGTATGAGGTTACTGAAACAACTAGAAATGTAGATATGAGTAGGAAGTGGCTAACCGAGTATGTCTGTCATGAAAATTATTTTCTATTGACATCATCACTATTCAGTTTAAGAGTCATATTAAGGATCAGAAGTATGATCTTCGGTTTGTAGATGATGGCATTGAGAAGTACAGAACTGTGATTGATTCTATAACTGATCAGCACATATTCACTCTCTTTCAGCTACGCCACTAGAACAAAAATACCTGAAGCCAACTGAAACTAAGCTGAGATTTGCTGCCTGAAAACAAGCCCAGCCAATCCCAGTGAAAGCCAGCCGATCCAATGATAAAAACAGAGCCTCAGCCAATATCTACACCAATGAATGGAGAAATAAATGTTCATTGTTTAAACAACTGAGTCAGGATGTTGTATTTCAGAGTATTATTTTGACAAGAGCTGATAAATACAGAAATTGATACCAGATATAGGGTGCTGATAGTAATGTGTAATGAGGAAACCCTTTTAAGAGGCTGAGAAAACAATGGCATCTATTATGTAGAAATATGACTTTTGGTAAAGATTGTCATTTCACTAAGTGGAAAAATTCTACAAATGTATCTAGTAAATTAATTTTCTTTTATCAAAGAAGTTTATAGGTAGACCTTTAATAGTGTGAACTATATTTGATAAGATATAACAATAACAAACCTGATAGGCTTAGAAAAGGACAAGCCAATTTGTCAACAGAAATGTGAAAGAGCAGAGAAAGATAAGAAACTGAATAGTAATTAAAATTATTTCTAACCAAAGTTGTGACCATTAAAAAGTAGCCGCTAGAAAAAGACTAAATTCAACATGAGATCACAAGACATGCCATCAAGACAAACATAAAATCAGAGACATGTAAAAGGATTAAGGTGTCTTTAATAGGCTAATTGTCCTACACATTATAGTTTTGTTTGTTTGTTTGTTTGTTTTAGATGGAGTTTCACTCTTGCTGCCCAGGCTGGAGAACAGTGGCACGATCTTGTCTCACCACAACCTCTACCTCCTGGGTTCAAGAGATTCTCCTGTCAGCCTCCCAAGTAGCTGGAATTACAGGCATGCGCCACCACACCTGGCTAATTTCTTTGTATTTTTAGTAGCCACAGGGTATCTCCATGTTGATCAGGCTGGTCTCGAACTCCCAACCTCAGGTGATCCACCCACCTCAGCCTCCCAGAGTGCTGGGATTACAGGCGTGAGCCACCGCACCAGTCTCACATTATGTTTTTATCCAAATTACCTGTAGTCAAGTCTAGACTGAGGCAAAGAAGAAGGTAGACAGACAGGTAGGCAGGTAGGTAGGTAGGTAGGTAGGTATAGTCACAAATCAAAGTGTGGGTATGTTTTTTGGAAAATGGAATTATGTAAGATCATACATAGAAAACTCACCACATATTTCAGACAGCTGTGCTAATGAAAGCACCCACACCCTGGATTAAAAGAAACTATTTGAGATG
This sequence comes from Homo sapiens, assembly GCF_000001405.40. Classification (NCBI taxonomy): domain Eukaryota; kingdom Metazoa; phylum Chordata; class Mammalia; order Primates; family Hominidae; genus Homo; species Homo sapiens. The sequence goes on from NC_000013.11 coordinate 87,526,365, forward strand.
AAAAAGCATAATGCATGTGCCACCAGTATCATACTTGTAATTGGACTAAAAGAGTCTCAAGTTGCCAAGGAGGGAATAGTCTCCAGTTATTTCCTCTAAGGAGTAAGAACAGGAGAGACATCCTGGAAAGCGGAGGCAAATACTGTCAATAATATTGAATTTGGGACCTGTTTTGAAACAAGAAGAAAGAATCCTAAACCAGTAAACTATCTAAACAAAGGGTAACGTGAAAACATTTATCCAGTTGCCATATACCACTGAATTCTATATGACTCAAATGATTTCCGTTTTCAAATATCACAATTCCACCAGTTGTTCTGAACCTCCTTTATTTTCTTTTTTCATAATTGCATGTTTCATGTATGTTTTTGTTTACTGGTCTCTGGAGCAAGAAAAGCTACATTCACACTTAGTATGTTCTCAGTATTCTAGAATTTTAGCCTAAGGCTATAAATAAATGAGACTTTTAATGATGCATAAGGAAGGTGTGTATGTATATTTTACACGCAAGAGGAAAGAAAGAGGATGTTTGTGAACAAGAGTTTGGACTGCAATAACACAAATTACTCTCCAATAAATAGTCCCTCCTCTTCAAGAAGCAGCTGTATTTCTGAAAGTATGATTTTCCACTTAACGTAATTATATGTGTGTGTGTGTGTGTGTGTGTGTGTGTGTGTGTGTGTGTGTGTGTGTTTGTAATGAGATATGTGTAGAAGTGGCATGAGCAGAAGTTTTAAGTGAAGTTTGTAGTTTGGTTAACTTTCTTTTGCTGCTCTGGTCTGCCATAAGAGCATGCTCTGTGTAGCTTTGGCCCCTTAAGCCTAAACAGTCTTGAAAAAGACCTGAATCCATATCAACTGGAGCCAAGCTCAGGCATGCCTAGCCAAGCCCAGCTAAATCACAGCCTGGAGCAAAGCTGCTCCAAGGGAACTGCAGACAGAAAGCAAGAAAAATAAATGCTTTCAGTATAAACCAGTGGGTTTTGGGGTGGTTCGTTACATAGTATAATTGTGCCAATAGCTGATTTAAAATGACAAAGAATTTTTTATTCTCTGTGAGGTATAATCTATTTAATGGTAAAACTAAGGTAATACCTGAGAATTCCAGGATTAAACTCTTTATTAAGTGTTTATTTTGTTATATTCTACTATCTTTAGTTAGAAATAAACAGACTGATTTTTGTGGGCATAACATTTCCCTTAAAGAATATGTCATGATGGAAAATGTATTATTGTAATTATTAATTCACTTATTCAAAATAATGTTTTATTTATTTCATCGGTCTCAGTCTGTTTTGTGGGGCTTATAACAGAATGCCACAGACTGGGTAATTTACAATGAACATAAATGTATTGGTTCTTCATTCTGGAATCCGGGAAGTCCAAGATCAAGGGGCCCGCATGTAGCAAGGGCTTTCCTGCTAAGTCATCCCATAGCAGAAGAGCTAAGGCAGACTGAGAGAGAGCAAGAGCTCAAACATGCAGCCCCAAACCCTTTTATAAGTGGCATTTATTCATTCTTGACGGTGGAGCCCTCATGCCCTAAATGTTTCCCTTTAGGTACCATCTCTCAAAAAACTGGATTAGGGACGAAATATCCAACACATGCTTTTCGGGGACACATTCAAACCATAGCATCATCTAAAGAAAATAGACTACTATTGTGATTATATGGCCATTGATAGTTTAAGTTTGTGGAATAGGGTAAAGTTACACTAGAACATGTACTTAACATAGACATTTTATAATACAGAATTATGGATCCTACAACTTAAAAGAGCATTGTAACAGATGGAGATTGTGGTACAATTATTTTTAGAATTGGCTTGCAATGTTCATTTTTGGAAATACTAAATACTGTTATGACTTTCTGCTGCAAAAAAAATAGCTACATAGAAATTATTTTTCTTTCTTATAAAAATAATTCTTAACTTATTTCATAAAAGATAGTCATCAGCACAGTATTTTCATTTATATCCTATCTAAATTTCGCATTGGCTGTATTTATATCTCTTATCTAAAATGTCTTAAAATGATATCTCAAAAAACAAATTATCTCCATAAAGTACAATTTGAAATAAGTCTCATTAGATAGTGGCACTGAATTGGGAATTCTTGTTTAAACTGGGATTAAAGAATGTGAGAAAAAATGAACCTTTAAGGTTGATTGATCATCCGTGCATTAAATATAATAGTGCAAGCACAAATAGTGGCTTGGAAGTCCTTATCATCCATGCCATTCCGCACATCAAACCATATTTTAAAATATGAAACACTGATACCTCCTCATGCTTATATGCAGTCTGAATAAAAGTATCTTCTATAACATTGTTATTTTTGCTGAACTGAAGCCTATACTCCAAGTAAAAATAATGTGACTATATTGAAAACTCAAATTAAAATCTGTAGTAATCCCTTGATGTCCAGATCTATGACCCTAAGTCCATGTGACAAAGAAATCTTATAGCCTTTAATTGGTATAAAGTTTGAAGACCCAAAGGCAGGGAAAATATAAATAATGGCTGGCATTACATTCTAGGATAGTTAGAGTTAAAGAAGAATTAAAGAATATGTTTTACAGATATATTTTTAGGGCCTAAAGATCTATATGAAATACTATTGTTTTATTGGCATGGAGAAATATTTAAGTCTTTTGCAAGGGGACAAAATCATCAGAATTATACATTGAGGGCTGAGGGCAGTGGTTCATGCCTACAATTTTAATGCTTTGGGAGGGCTTAGCAGGAGGCTTGCTTCAGGCCAGGCTTTCATGACTAGCCTATGCAACGTAGCTAGACCTCTTCTCTACAAAAAGTAAAAATAAACATCAGCAGGGTATGGTGTTGCATGCCTATAGTCCCAGCTACTCAGGAGGCTGAAGCAGGAGGATCACTTCAGACCAGGAGTCCAAGGCTGCAGTGATCCTCCTGCTTCAGCTTCTGAGTGGTTGGGACTACAAGCATCACACCACTACACTTGAGCCTTGGTGATAAAGTGAGACCCTGTCTCTAAAACAAAACAAAACAAAACAAAATAATTGAAGAAAGAATTGTACATTGGGATATATTGTATATTGGGATAGCTTGTGACAAAGTGCATGATACATTTGTGGATAAAAACTGGATGCAAAGGGACCAGGAAGAAATTGATCACTATATAAGGGCAACTGAAGAAGGCATAGTGGATCTGACAGTGTAAAGAAGGAACAATGTAAATGTTGTAATTAACAGAACATGTCATAGGAGGAGAAGAAAGAAGTAGAAGAGAGGAGGATGATATTGGGAATCTCAGGTAACTTGATTCACAAAGGCAAGATGAAATTGGGATATGAAGGCAATAGAATGTTTATGAACAATTACTTTATTTGTATATTTCTCAAACATCGATAATACAAATTAATTTTATGTCAAAAATTATCCAGGATTTTAAAAGTAACTTATTGATGTTTTTCATGCATCCAAAAATATTAAACTCCCTCAAATATTTTGTAAATATGAATTTAAGCCATATTGTAAGTTATTATAATTTATGAGATAAAATATTCATATACTGATTGTCTTAAATAATATTTAAATTCATATAGACTAAAGTAACTTTTACAAGTCTTATTTTACATCCTAGTTATACATTTCTTCAAATTAAATGTTTAATAAGAAAAATTCCGAAGTTGAAAATTATGAGTTTTAGATAAGATTTGATACATTAATACTAATTCTGTTTCAATTTGCCTTATGGTGGCATATTTCAATTAAATCTATTTCAAGGACCAACATGAGGCTGTGGAGAAAAGGGAACCCTAGCACACTTTTGGTGGGGCTGTAGAGTTGTACAGTCATTATGAAGGAGTATAGAACTTACTAAAGACATTAGTAACTACCATACCGAAGACATAGAACTACCATATACATACCAATCCCCCTTTTGGGTCTATATCAAAAGGAGATATTCACCACTGTTTAAAGATATCTGCTCTCCCATGTTTATTGCAGCATTATTCACAATACCCAAGATATGAGAACAACCTGAATGTTCATGGACAAGTGAATGGATAAAGAAAATATGGGGTGTGTGCATGTATGTGTACACCTACAGGAAATGAAAGGAAATATTATGTGAAATTATTATTATATGAATTATTATGTGTACATCTATAGGAAATGAAATGAATTATTTTTATGTGTACACCTATAAGAAATGAAATATGGGGTGTGTGTATGTGTACAACTATAGGAAATGAAATGAAATATTATTCAGCCTTAAAAAAGGACATCTTGCCATAACATGGATGGACCTGGAGGACATCATGGTAAGCAAAATAAGACAGACATAGCAAGAAAAATATTACATAATCTCACTTGCATATGGAATGAAAATAAATGGAGCTCAAATACACAGCCATAGAGAATGAAGAAGTGGTTCCAACGGGTGAGAGCACAGGAAAGAAAATGGAGAGACGTTGATAAAATGATACAAAATAGCAAATATGCAGGAGGAACACGTCTAGAGAGCCAATGTATAACATGAGGACTCAAGTTAATAAAACCGCATTGTATTACACTAGAGATTTTTTAAAAGATTTTTCCTGCTCTTATTATAAACAAAACCATGTGAGATGATAGATATGTTAATTTGCTTCACGTAATAACCATTTTCCTATCTGTATATATCTCATATGTTGTAAACCTCAAACATACACTATTTATTTTTTATAAAAAAAAAGACATCTATATATGGAAGAAGGAAGGGTTAAGAGGTGTAATTTTCTTTTCCATTTATGGCTATGTGAAGGCTGATCTCACCACTAGCTGAAGATGTTCTGTAAATAATAAATAATAAACTACATTGACATATTTTTGTTTATGCATTTGTTGTTGTTGTTGTTGTGTTTGGATTTAGTTCATTATAATTTTTACCTGATGACTCTTCTTTATTTGGTGTAAGTTTCAGATAAAATAATCACTATTTCAAGTTATTCTAGTGCTCACCTGATCTTTGTTAACCAGAAGGAAAAAAATCTTAAGAAAACAAAAACCTGTATAGTTAGCATAGTTGAACTTAAAAGAAGAAAGGGAGATGTTCAAAGGAGATAGAGAGAGGAAGATTTCTCAGTAACATGATTACAATCAAGTATATAGTTTTCAGTGATATGATTGCAATCCAAGACATAGTTCTCCACTTCTCATTATCAATTGATTAGGAGACCCAGATTTGATCAGGCTTTTTAAAATGAATGAAGTGGAATATAAGAACTTTTGACTCTATGAATCTAAATGTCAATGCATTTTACTTTTCAGTAATCAGAATAGTAGTACCTGTTAATGAAATCACATTCTTCCAATTGTACAAAAAAAAAAAAACAAGTTCCATTTGCAGAAGCTATGAAGCACTGAACCAAGAAACAATAATCTGCTGACATTTGGGGACACAGCAAATGTGACACTACATTCACAGTAGTGTGCCTCTCAGGAAACAATAATTTTCTGTTTCTCAAACTAGGTGGTTAAATGGCTATATACACTTTGAGAAATATCCACTTATTAAGTAGGGCACTTTTTTGTGCTTTTATACGTCAATGAAATGTTTTCTTAAAAATCAATTTGATAATAAATCTTTGGGAACACCCAGTGAACATAACCATAATGATGACAGTTACTACCTGTAAGTTCTGCACTAGGAACACTGCATAACTTAATTTATTTAACCCTTATAATAAGCCTGTGAATAAGTGCCAATTGTTAGTCAGTTTTATGTGCAAGGAAACTGATGCACAGACAGATTATAGAACTTGCTGAGATCATAGATAAAGTGAGTGAGTTTTTGAACCTGGACTTTGTACCTTGGGACAGTCAGTGCTATGTTCCTTTACATGTAATGATAGAATGTTTTTCCTTCCTAAATAAATATCCTTGCCTTTCAGTTAGAGCAAGTTTATTAGAGTAAGCCTATTATAATAGTAAGTCTGAAATATTACTGTATAGTAATATTATAAAATATTTTATATGTATTGAGTACAAGCAGACTCCCTGTCTTTGGTTGATATGATTATGTTTGAGGTAGGCAATCATTCAATTATTGTGGATTATATACTTTAATCATGCTTCAGGAACCCTTTCTGAGATAAAACTTTCTTCCTATTGATTGAATTCCACAAATAGACTCTTAATTATAAATATCAAGATTGTTAATATTTCTTATTTCCAGAACAGAGAACTTTGTAATCCAACATCTTTTCCTTTCAATTTACTTTTCATTTCATGAAAATCATGCAAAACTTTTTCTTCCATTTCAAGAAAAATCATGCAAAACTTTTCCTTTCTCACTGGTGTTTCACAATATATACACCTCAGTCAGTTATAACTCATATAAATCTTTTTTACTAATACAAATATATCCTCTTTAAATTTATTCTGATATTTCTTATATTTTGCTCTGCTAAATATATATATATTTATCTAATATTTATTTCTTATATTTTGGTCTGCTATATATATATGTGTGTGTGTGTATATATATATATATATATATATATATATATATAATGGTTATAGGTATTATTAGAATATTGAGCTTTTCTTATGTGGTACATATACACCATGGAATACTATGCAGCCATAAAAAAGGATGAGTTCATGTCCTTTGCAGGGACATGGATGAAGCTGGAAACTATCATTCTCAGCAAACTAACACAGGAACAGAATAAACAAACACCATATGTTCTCACTTATAAGTGGGAGTTGAACAATGAGAACACATGGACACAGGGAGGGGAACATCACACACCAGGGCCTGTCTGGAAGTGAGGGGCTAGGGGAGGGATAACATTAGGAGAAATACCTAATATAGATGACGTGTTGATGGGTGGAGCAAATCATCATGGCACGTTTATACCTATGTAACAAACCTGCACATTCTGCACATGTATCCCAGAACTTAAAGTATAAAAATAAAAATAAAAACAAGAATATTGAGCCTTTCTTTAACTCTTTCCATTGCAAAGTTCAGTAGGTCAGGGTCAGATATTCAATCATCATGTATCAGTAACATGAAAACTGGCTTTATACTGTTAAACTGAATTAATTACCCTTATCTTTGTCATAAAACAACTCCTACATTTTTGCTTCTGTTTTGCCAAACTAGGGACTTGATCATGAAACTTCTTTGTTCCCCTCCATTTGGGTATGAAATCCTTCTCCTTACTCTGAAATTCTTAACCTTATTTCAAAAGGACATATTCTACCTGAAGACAGCTCTGAGATAGCTCTGTTTCCCAAGTATTCTTTGTTTACCACTAGAGATCAATGCTATAATCTGCCCCACTTTGCTCTCTACTCTGAGAGTCTGAAACATAGGCCCTAAATCAATGGACTGTCTTGTCCTGTGGTTTCCACAAAGGAGCCCCAGCAAGAAATTGAAGAAAGGAACAAATGTGGATTTGAGACATTTATCTGCCTGCTTTACTTCTGGTGGACTTTTCTTTTACTGAAGATCTCTGCTCCTTCAAATAATTCTGGAATTATCTTAATTGGAGAGTGTCATCTGTTCCCTTATTAGTCACTGACTGACAAAGTAATTAGTACTTATAAAGTCTCTGGAAAATAGATCCACAAAGTGGGGATCTGGGGTTGGATTGCTTACATATTAAGAATTCCTAAGATAAATCATTTCCTAAGAGGAAATGAAAAATGGGTAATCCATGGCATTTGCAGGCATCACAAATGGTCAAATGATCACTATTTCTGGCACAGAATATATCAAAGATTGAAGGGAAGGCATTGAGGGAGCAACTGTCTGTAGCATGTATTTGTGAAGAAAATAGTGGTGATTATTTTCCATTTTCTTCAGGTAAGAGAGTATTCCCTGGATAAATAAAATATTTGATCTATGACTCTGTATTCCTTGAATCTAGGAAAAAATTCAGGTCAGATTATTGTTTTGAGGATCTGCTTCATATGACCTTTCCTAATAACAATTACCCTATCACTCACTGTCCCAGTAACAAATAGATGGCATGTTACCCCTTAAATCTCCTGGAATCATAAGCCTCCTGGAAATACACTATCATATATATGAAGTCACCTGGCTTCTTCTAATATCCTTGAAGTTATATATTAAAAGTGGCAAAATACATTTTCTAAAGACATGCCATCAATCCCATTCTAACAACTAGAAACAAAAACACACATTTTGTACACATTACTTTTAAGAAGATGGACAAATGGTGGATGCAAAAAAGACTGAATTAACTAAGACTCCAGATGAGCCTTTTATTAGGTGAGCTGAATCTTCATGTACTCATAAATCAATTTTTAATAAAATAACCCACAATTTTTTGTCTTTCCAACTTACCTTTATCTCATAATATGCAATCATCAGTCACTACACCTTTGAATCCATATTTCAGTATGCATCTCTGAAATATAAGAGCGCTCTTGTTCAAATGTAACCATAATGCCTTTAGTGTCAAAAAATGACACTAAAAAAGTTGGAAATGTACATCTACACAAACTGCACATAGTTTTTTATATTAGCTTTAGTCATAATTGCCAAAATGTGGAAGCAACCAATGTCTACATGTTCTTTCATAGATAAATGGATAAACTGTGATATGTTCAGACAACAGAATATTATTCAGCACTAACAAAAATTTATTTATCAAGCCATTAAAAGACATGGAAAAACTTCAATGCATTTTACTAAATTGAAAAATACCAATCTGAAAAGAATACCTACTATATGTTTCTACTATGTGAAATCCTGCAAAACTATGGAGATAGTAAAAAAAGAAGTTGTTGGGGTATAGTGAGGAAGAAGTTATGAATAAGTGGAGCACAGATGATATTTAGGGAAGTACAAACACTATGTATGATATGGATCATATAACGGTGGATACATGTCATTATACGTTTGTCCAATCCCATAATATGAAAAACACCTAGAGTGATCCATAATGTAAACTAAGAACTTAGATGAAAATGACAGATTCATCAACTGTAACAAATGTACTACTCTGGTGGAGGACATTATAACAAAATAAATTATGCATGTGTTGGGGAAAGGGATATATATGCAATCTCTGAATCTTCTGCTCAATTTTTCTGTAACCAAAAACTTTTAAGAAATAAAGTCTATTTTAAAAATTACTTTTTAAAAAGCTACATAAGCCAGCAGGATAAGGATAGAATTGGGGCATGAATAAAAAGGCGCTTGGCTGTTTCTGAAATGTTTATTTCTTACATAATAAAATGATTGAAATTGAACACAAAAAGCTTAGTTTAAATTTTAGGTGGTGAAAATATGGGTGCTGTTTATATTACTTTTATTCTTCTAATACTCTAAAAGACTACAGCATTAAAATAAACATGTGATTGTATGATATATGTCATATATATGTATATATGTATACATGCACACACACACAGTTTTTCAGTTTCTGGCTCATAATTCCCACAGTCCTTGCTTGTTACAGTCTTCTGTTATAATGCTGGGGCATTTTAGGCCTCTGGGGCAGACCTCAGCAAAGAGAATCAACCTCTCTCTCTCTCTCTGACCTATCTTCCTTTTACTTGCCCAAGACAGGAATCTAATTGTGACTCAAAAGACCCTAATTCCAGAGAGGGTCCTGTCCTATTCCTGGAGAAAGGGATGCTGCACCCAGAGTCCAAGAAGAATCTGATCGGACAGGCCCTGTCAGGTTTTCCCACTCACTCTATTAGTATGCAATTATATTCTTTTCACCCAATCACATTTCTACTTGGTTGTGAATCATGCCCAAGTAACAAAGTTTCCATAAAAACCCAAAAGGACAGTGTTCACAGAGCTTCTGAATAGCTGAGGATCTGGCAGTTCCTGGAGAGTGGTGCCCCAGGGAGAGGATGGAACCTCAGCACCCCACCCCCACCTTGTCTTATGCATCTCCTCATTGATATCCTTTGTAATACTCTTTAGGATAAATTGGTAAATGTAAGTAACTGCTTCCCTCAGTTCTTTGAGCTGCTTTGGCAAATTATTGAAGCACAAAGAGGGAGTCATGGGAACCCCAACTTGCAACCAGTCAGCTGGAAGTTCCAGAGGCCAGATTTGTGACTGGTATCTGGGGTATGGGACAGTCTTGGGGACTGACCCTTCAACTTGTGGGATCTCAGGCTGCCTCCAGGAAGGTAGTATCAGAGTTGAATTGACTTAGAGGAATCTTAGCTGGTATCCACAGCTTGGTGTGAGGTGGGAAAACCCCACACATGTAGTCACAAAGTCTTCTGTGTTGATCGATGTGTTGGTGTGACAGCAGAAGAAAAACAGCTTGAGAGTGTTTCCAGACAATTGGTCTCAGAAGCGGGATGTGGTAGGACTGCCTAGGCTAACAGAAACATGTGGTTTCAGAAGAGAAAAGATAGAAGCATGGGGGATGAAGAACCTTTAATTTCTCTGTGGCTATGTGGTTACTCATGGTATGGAGTCACAATTTTGCTGCATTCAGTTACTAAAGATAAAAGTTATCAGTGGAATTCAGGCATGGATTCAACTCTCAGGGATTTGGTTTACCAGACACTTAAGGAAATTCAAACTAATAAGGTAAACGTGATACATGCTAGCCTTGGTTATTGCTACCAGTAATACCTAAAATGAAAGTAAAAAAAAAAAAAAATGCTGTGTTGGGCCTTGAGTCTTGACCAAGCTCAGCTGTCAGTCTGTCTGAGCTCAGGCCGCTAGCCTCAGAGCCACCCCTACAAGGGCAAATTTATGCAGGGACAACAGAAAGTACCTGTGAGACTTTTGGTTTCCAAGGAAGTAGTCAGTGCTGGGGAAGGACAAAACCAAGTAACTACTGAAACTAGAGGGTATGGTGTAAAGAAATTGTTCTGTTTTGTACATCAGTATCATCAGCTTCCTTTACTACAGTGGATTCTGAGAATAACTAATTTAGGAACAGTATCTTTGGTTTCAAATGCTGCAGAGTGGGAGAGCATGTTTGGGTTGATGCAGGACCCACAGCTCACTATTGAAAAATCACAGATGGAGGTATATGATCCAGCCACACAGGAGGTTATTCCTGAGGTAACAGCCAGCTTGGTGGACCAGATAAAAGCTACTCTAAGGTCTGTTTACACAGAGAAAAGGGACTGCCAGTTTTCACCTTATAAATGCCAAGTGGAACACCCCAGACGAAGCAGCTGATACGTTTCATAAGCAACCCATGTGTGACTGTCTTTGTGATGACTGGGATATTCACCTACTGAATATGCCCACTACCTAGGTCATGATAAATGCTGTAGTTATGGAGGTCTCTTCTGTGTGGGTACCCTATCTGATGTGACTCCTACAGAAGCCAGTGACAGTTCCGGATGCCTTATCAAACTTGCTGTCTCAGCTACCCCTCCTGGATCTTACAGATGCTAACAAAAACATTAGGTTAATTACAAGAGAATGAAAGACAAAAAGGAGAATAAAAGGACTGACAGCAGAAGGTGACAATTTCTAAATGGTTATTTAAAAATAACATAAACAAATAAAACATTGATAGGAGTGAAACTAAAAGGAAAAGAAAGGAGTCATGGGACTCATCCCAAGCAGGGTGGAAATCTTTAGATGGAAATTGAGAAATGAAATAAAGTGGAAATAGATGGGGCTGAAACAAAGATCTTAATACCATTGAAGGTTGGGTGGAATTCCTGGTAGTCTCCCAATACGAGAGGGCCTCAAACCAGTTTGCTGCATTTAGTCCAGTTTAACTTTAAAAGACGGATGGTAAAGATTATGATGAGAAACCCTACCTGGAATTTCCTGAGGTAATGGTTAGACTGATTAATCCAGGAAATTATTGACAGAGAAGCCAGGGTTCCTTGGCTCAACTCCTGAGGACCCAAAGCCTTTTGCACAAGGGAAGGTGACATAGTCTGAAGGTGGGGAAAAGTCCCTGGGACTAGATTATAAAAATGTAAGAGTCGATAGGATTATGAAAGCTGAAATGTTTAAACTGGCTTTGTGTAAAAACCCTGTGTCTCCTTTGCCCAAAGGTTTTATGGGAATAGATCTTGTGTCTTACTGAGAGATGTTTCCCCCTACCTGGTACTATAAAACAGAAGGCATTTAAAGCTGCCCTTCAAACAATATCAATTGGCCATGCTAAATGGGAACCAGTAAGATTGCCTTAGCCTACAGAGTGTAGAGTAGAAGTGAGAGTGCTGGTAGGGACAAACTCCCCACCTGATAACTCTCTCTGGAGTGTTTCCTGGTATTTATTGCAACAGCCTGTGAGAGCCTTCCAGCAAAGACTCCTGGGACTTTGGGCTAGAGAATTTCCACTTGAGGCATATTTACTAACTGGCTTTTAACTGAAACTACTCCTATGACTGAAGGACATAAAATTCATCTTGACATCTAAAATACCCATGCTCTCTCAAGTGATTTCAGAGAAACACTCTAATGGGATGGTAGTGCCCAGAATAGTTCTGAATAATGGAAGTAGTTTATACAGGATCATGCTACCTGTGGAATGCATGGAAGAGAGCCTCATAAGCAGCAAGTCTCTTTTCCCCAGGACTGACTCAGGAACTGTGTGAGGAGCTGCTGGGTTCCACACTGACCTATAAATGGCTCTCAGCTGACCAACCAAGAACTGCTTGGTTTTTGGATGACAGTTTTAAAATGAATGGACACCATCCTCTTTGGAAGGATGCTACTTTGATCAATGAAGGTAAAAACAAGTCATCTCAGTGGGTTGAATTGCATGCTATTTCCCTACCACTGATGAACAAAATCAAACAATGATGAAAGTCCCTATGTTTGCATTTTTACTGATTCATGGATAGTAGCCAATGGCTTGGCCACATGATTAGGCAGAAAGGCATTGGAAGCCTGGCCTATTAAAAGGATCCCCATATGGGGCACTGTCCTACAGAAATTTGAGTTGTACCTTATAGTAAGACAGGTTGATGGCCATTGGAAGAACCCCCTTTCAGGTTCAGAAGGTGACTAGAATCAACAAGTAGACATCCCTGTGTGCTCCCTTGAGGTGGCCACCTTCCCTGAAATGACTAGATATAGGGGTTCTGAAGCAACGCATAGATGGGCTGAAATATAGGCATTTTTGCTTGCACACTCTAAGGCACAAAATGCCAATAAACACTCTTCTGATTGTCGGCAAGAGAGACAGAACTACAGATGGCTATGGGGCAGATTCCCTGATGAGAAGGCTCAGAAGATAGCTGGCAAGTGAGACTGACACTGGTAGCCATAGGGGCTACAAATGGGTCTTGACAGAAATAGACACTGACTTTAGACTGAGATTTGCTTACTGGTAAAATATGCAAATACTCAGAGTGTCATTAAAATAAAACAGAACAGAATATACTGCACAAATTTGGATGGTCAACTGTCATTTCTTCAGAACAAGGAACACATTGCACAGCCCATAATGTCCAACAACGGGCAGAGAGGTCCCCTCCTCAGAGTGATAGTTTGGTAGAGAAGTAAAGTGGGCAATTTAAATATCAGTTGTCTAAAACAGGGGAGATAAAAACACGAAGGGCTGCCTTCACGAGCGTGAGACTAACAGAATGTCCCCATTAGATTTTTCTGTTTTCCTGGTAAATCTGGAAAAGAGGAGGTGGGAAGGATGCTGACATAACTATGCTATTCTTGCCAAGGGAAGAGTACACTAGTATAATGACTATAATTTGTTCTTTCTTCCTCAAATCACCCTATTTTTTTTCCTCCCCTACCTAATGCAGTGGTCCTAGAAGCAGGGCTGCAACTACAGGTGCTGGAAGTGGGCATAACTTCTAAGCAATAAACTGTCACTATGTTTTTAAACTTTAGGTTGGAATTCCTAAGGGTCTGATGGGGATGGGTCCTCCATGTCATCTAACAAACTTGGGGCTAAAAATGAATGTAGCCGTATCACCTGATGGAAAAAGTAGCTCACCAGATCTACACCCATGTAACTTTACCCTATCAGAATGGGAGTGGGCCAAGGCAGAGGTAGTTGCCAGACTAGTATTGCTGCGTGCAATCTGGACCAGCACAGTAGCAATTCTAATGTCCCTTCCAAAGGCGAAAAAGTCTGGGTGTTGATGGAGAGTAGAAATAGTAGCGGAGGATAAAGAAATGAATGAATGGGTTATAAATTCAAGGAAATCCAACATTACATTAACATCTTGATAGAGGCTCACAGCAAGAGATGGCATTGTCTGTTAGCTCAATTATTCCAGATGCCTGAAAGTAAAAGGGTCTATGTTTGCTGAGACCACTCCTGCTTTTGAAACCTGACAAGATTAAAAGAAAAAAGCTTATAAATCTGAGTGGCCTCTCCCTGGGAGACATATTCATACAATATGATGATAGACTAGACTCATTATTAATGACTAAATGGGATTCTAGCAACGTGGCAGTATCTTTTGAGTTGTGTATTTTTTAAAGATTTTTTTAGTTTAATTTTTGTGGGTATATAGTGTGTGTGTGTATATATATATTTATGGGATATGTGACCTCCTTTGATACAGATATGCAATGTGAATATTCACATCATGTAACATAGGGTATCCATCCCCTCAAGCATTTATCTTTTCTATACAAACAATGCAATTATGCTGAAGTGTATATTCTTTTGATGTAAAGGATCTGTGTTGGAAAACCAGGGGATGGCCTGTGATGTTATGATTATGTATACTATTGGTTTTGGTCCACGGCTCCTGGCATGTAATTCTCATAGCCCTCGTTAAGGTCTTCTATTACATGTTGGGCCCCCCCCCCACCAAGCCTCAGGAGCAGGCCTCAGGAAACAGTCTCTCTTTCTCCTGTCCTCCTTGTACCTGAGTTTGACTTCAGCTTGGTCCTTCAATCACCTTAAAGTAGCTAGCTGCATCACGGTTCTTTCTTTCCTTTGTCAGACTGTCCTGAGTTTTATTATCTGTTTTTTTATATCTAGAATACCATCCCCTCTTACATAAATAGGGTTCATAGGCCGGGAGCAGTGGCTCACGCCTGTAATCCCAGCACTTTGGGAAGCTGAGGTGGGTGGATCACCTGAGGTCAGGAGTTTGAGACCACCCTGGCCAACATGGTGAAACTCCATCTCTACTAATACTAATTAGTCAGGCGTGGTGGCATGCACCTGTAATCCTAGCTACTTGGGAGGCTGAGGCAAGAGAACTGCTTGAACCCAGGATGTGGAGGTTGCGGTGAGCCAATATTGCACCATTTCACTCCAACCTGGGTGACAAGAGTGAACTCCATCTCAAAATAAATGAATAAATACATAAATAGGGTTCATATATGGCCATTTTTCATTACTCAGGTTATGACCCAAAATAACTTCATTAAATAACTTACACATACACACTTATTTTTAATCACACTATCATTTTAAGTGTTAGCAGTTATCATTTTCTGAAAATTTTAATATATCTATATGTTAATTAATTTGCTTTATTCCTGTCTCCTTATGAAAAGATGAATGCAGAGAGGAGAGAAACCTTCTTTATCTAGTTCCCAGCTGTTTTGACAGGTCTGGACCACAGCCTAGGATATAATAAGCTCTCAATTAAAGCTAGTTGGATAAATAAATGAACAATTTAATGCAAAAAATAGCCTCTTTTGTCCCTTCTGAGAAGTAAACACTATTTATAATGTAGCTTTTGTGGAGCAAGAAGTTGTGTCTTCCCGTGTGGCAACTTATAAACAGCATTGGGAACTCACATGTTTTCATCTTGAGATATACAACATATTATTGTATATGTTCAGTTACATTTCTCTTTTGAGAGTCAACAACTTGCGTTTCTAAAATGTTAAACCTGACTGGGTATGGTGGCTCATGCCTGTAATCCCAGCACCTTGGGAGGCTGAGGCAGGTGGATTGCTTGAGGTCAGGAGTTCGACACCAGCCTGGCCAAAAAGGTAAAACCCTATCTCTGTTAAAAATACAAAAATTAACAGGACATGACAGTGGGCACCTGTAGTTCCAGCTACTCGGGAGGCTGAGACAGGAGAATTGGTTGAATTCCCGGGAGGTATTTGCAGTGAGCCAACAGATCGCACCACTGCATTCCAGCCTGGGCCACAGAGCCAGACTCAGTAGCAAAAAAAGAAAAAAAGTTAAACCAACAAGTTGTTTTTTGGCTAAATTTGAATTCTGTATAATGAAACAGTGAACTGAGGCTATTTCAACTTCTTTATAAATGCATCCTTAATAATAGATGTTACCTTAAATAACTGTTGTAATCAATATTACAATTCGACTACAACACAGATATTAAAATTACTTTTAAAGAGTCTTTTTAAGACATATATCACAAATTACATTGAACAATAAAATGATTGTCATAGCCAATGTAGCAGTTATTTTCAAATTATCTACCAAGAAATAAATTTCTATTGAGAGAGTAATAAACTGATTAAAATATTTCCAGGTCATTTGTTAAGGATTCATTACTTAGAATAATGCTTTAAAGAGAAAGGGGAAAATGGTATTACCTAGTTTTTACTTTCAACACATATTAAGTATTTCAGAGAGGAAAATCACTTAAGAAATTACATTTATGATAAACTGCAAGTGATCAAAAATTCACTGATAATTAAGTCATTTTCTGATCTATAATGTTTTTAATTGTACATATGTGAAATCCCATCACTGTTGTTTAATTTTAAATAATATCTTCAGAGCGAGGGTAGAAAAATGAGTATAAAGTAGAATTCTATAGAATATAAACTAGTTAAGGGCTAAATTCAGGCTTCAAATTTTACTAGTGTGGGAAATTTGGCAAGATCTTGCTTAGCCTTTCTGCACCCCAGTTTCCTCTTCTGGAATAAATTATGCTGCATACATCATAAAGTTATTTTGAATATTAAATGTGTTATATGTAAAAAAACTAAGAATGGTTCCTGGAACATGACAAGCTCTGCACAGATGTTAACTTTAGTAGTAATACAAATTCAATATCCCTTATTTAAACTACGTGGGACAAGACATGTTTTGGATTTCAGATTTATTCAGATTTTGGAGTATTTACATGTACATAATGAGGTATTTTGGGTATGACAGCCAAATTTCAACACAATGTCCAGTTATTTTTCATTTATACCTTATATATATCCCCCAAAGGTAATTTTATACCATATTTCAAAGAATACGAGGTCAGGTGTGGAATTTTCCACAGTGCTGGCATGTTAGCATTCAAAAAATTTCATATTTGGGGGCATTTTGAATTCTGGATTTTCAGGTTAGGAATGTTCCACCGGTAGAAGCACTAGTAGTAGCAGCAGCAATCGTAGTAAAGTGTTATCATTGACACCACCATGTGCCAGGTAAAGTTTCATGTGCTAGGTATGCAACACTTATAGTGCAATACGAATTAGAGACAAAAATTAATATTCTTAGAGCTTAAGCTGTAGTAGGGAGAGGAAGATTAAAAATAAATCCTACATCAGCTGATAACAAATATTAGGGAGAAAAAAACGAGTATAGGGAAAGAATCCCAAGGGAAGGATATTTTACAGAGATACTTCAATATTGTTTGATTATGAAGGTAGTGTCACATAAATAAGATTTTTATTGGAATTGGGATATAGCTAAAAGGAATACATTAATATTTGTAAAACCATTTTAGATAATTTTGTACAACAAAATAGTATTTAATCATAAGTATACAATAATTAATTTTAAAATTTATAATAATTTTATACCAAAATTTGTAACTTATATACTTACATTCAAATATCAGCTCTCCCAAATAATAGGTCAAGGATAGCTAAGATATGTAATCCGAGTCAGATTATAAATTAAAGTATCTACTTTGTGGGATGGTGGTAAGACATAAATAAACACTTTACAAATATCCTTCCCTCATTTTAAAAATGTATTAGGGTCACTCATCTGACAAAGGGCTAATATCCAGAATCTACAATGAACTCAAACAAATTTACAAGAAAAAAAAAACAACCCCATCAAAAAGTGGGCGAAAGATATGAACAGACACTTCTCAAAAGAAGACACTTATGCAGCCAAAAAACACATGAAAAAATGCTCATCATCACTGGCCATCAGACACATGCAAATCAAAACCACAATGAGATACCATCTCACACCAGTTAGAATGGCAATCATTAAAAAGTCAGGAAACAACAGGTGCTGGAGAGGATGTGGAGAAATAGGAACACTTTTACACTGTTGGTGGGACTGTAAACTAGTTCAACCATTGTGGAAGTCGGTGTGGCGATTCCTCAGGGATCTAGAACTAGAAATACCATTTGACCCAGCCATCCCATTACTGGGTATATACCCAAAGGATTATAAATCCTGCTGCTACAAAGACACATGCACATGTATGTTTATTGTGGCACTATTCACAATAGCAAAGACTTGGAACCAACCCAAATGTCCAACAAGGATAGACTGGATTAAGAAAATGTGGCACATATACACTATGGAATACTATGCAGCCATAAAATATGATGAGTTCATGTCCTTTGTAGGGATGTGGATGAAGCTGGCAACCATCATTCTCAGCAAACTATCACAAGGACAAAAAACCAAACACTGCATGTTCTCACCCATAGGTGGGAATTGAACAATGAGAACACCTGGACACAGGAAGGGGAACATCACACACCAGGGACTGTTGCAGGGTTGGAGGAGTGGGGAGGGATAGCATTAGGAGATATACCTAATGCTAAATGACCAGTTAATGGGTGCAGCACACCAACATGGCACATGTATACATATGTAACAAACCTGCACATTGTGCACATGTACCCTAAAAGTAAAGTATAATTAAAAAAAATCAATAAACTTTATACATTTTGGATTTGTTTATCGATATATACACCTTCATGCTTACCCATATATATGTAACTATGTATTACAAACAAGGTCATCCCTCAACTGACAAACATGAACTGATTAATATTAAAGAAAATATTGAAAATGAATTTCACAGATACACATATTTCGTTTAACTGTTTCTACATTTCATCTTTAGGCATATCAAATATTTTTTAAAAAAGACTTTACCATGGAATATATTAATATTTCTAGCAGAATCACAGATATTAACTGTTGGTAACAAGCCCCCCAAAATCTCGCCATAAACTGGCCCCAAAACTGGCCATAAACCAAATCTCTGCAGCACTGTGACGTGTTCATGATAGCCGTAATGCTCACGCTGGTAGGTTGTGGGTTTACCATAATGAGGGCAAGGAACACCTGGCCCGCCCAGGGCAGAAAACCACTTAAAGGCATTCTAAAGCCACAAACAATAGCATGAGTTATCTGTGCCTTAAGGACATGCTCCTGCTGCAGTTAACTAGCCCAACCTATTTCTTTAATTTGGCCCATCCCTTCGTTTCCCATAAGGGACACGTTTAGTTAATTGAATATCTATAGAAACAATGCTAATGACTGGCTTGCTGTTAATACGTGGGTAAATCTGTTTGGGGCTCTCAGCTCTGAAGGCTATGAGACCCCTGATTTCTCACTTCACACCTCTGTATTTCTGTGTGTGTCTTTAATTCCTCTAGTGCCGCTGGGTTAGGGTCTCCCTGACCTAGCTGCTCTCGGCAATTAACAAGTTTACCAAAGTTTCTTTAATGATATTCTCACAAAATAACTATACTCTATATCCAGAAGTTCCATTCTCTTATAAAATATAAGAAGCAAATATATATCCTGTGACCAAAAATGCATTTATGTCATCTCTAGGTTTATGTGTTTTAATACATTTATTTCTCAAATCTTTAAGATTTTGCATATACTAAACTGTTCTTTTTTAATCCAATTGTGAAGCTTAAATGTTGGTGATGTCCATATGCAAAATCATTTTTAATGACAGTGTCATCATAAACATGCTGGGGGATGGGTTAAATTTTTAGATAGGACTATAGAGATCATAAAAAAGCTATGTTTTATGCAGTATCAATAATTTAATTTTAAAGTACTGAAAACTAGATGAAATATGATGGATAAAATCTACAAGTTTGCATAAGTGTTTTACATTTAGTTTTTTACACATGAAATAATAACATAGTTAAGAATTTCTATTTAAAATATAAGTGATGAAAATTATATAGAGATAAGTACTTTTTTTTTTTTTTTTGAGACTGAGTTTCACTCTTGTTGCCCAGGCTGGAGTGCAATGGCAGGATCTCAGCACAGTGCAACCTCCCCCTCCCAGGTTCAAGCAATTCTCCTGCCTCAGCCTCTCAAGTAGCTGAGATTACAGGCACCTGCTACCATGACCGGCTAATTTTTGTATTTTTAGTAGAGACAGGGTTTCACCATGTTGGCCAGGCTGGTCTTGAACTCCTGACCTCAGGTGATCTGCCCGCCTCAGCCTCCCAAAGTGCTGGGTTTACAGGAATGAGCCACAGCGCCCAGCCCCTAAAACATTCTACTTCTACTTTTTGACCTAATAAAAGAATAAAGTTTATTCATATTGCTGTACTATTGAATAGAAATACCCAACATGAAAATGAAATTGCATGATTGTAATAGAATACTCAAGTAGACATAAAAGGATGAAATATTCAAGGAAAACCAATTATTATCCTAATCCATTATAAACTATTAGATCTCTAGCATTCCATTATGTATACACTTATTTTACTTGCTAATTTTATTTTTGAGCCTTGAAAATCTCATTTTGAACTTCAAATTCACATTAGACAGACATCTTAGCAGGCTTTATTTTTCCCCCAATGAGTAGAATTTGGAAGACTGAGAAGATCCAAAAAAAGAAAACTAATTTCACCACATTTCAATTTAATGATATTCTTGAATATTTGTGAACCTTGTAATACAATTAGAACCATAAACCCATATGTGATTATTTGTCAAATATTTGGTATTCTTCTACCACTATAGTACACTGTTATCCTGAGCACAGATAACTAAAGTTGCTTATAGCTTCTTTCCTGTGACATTTATTTTAGTTTAGGTTATTCTAAATTCTACTTTCTTTTTTTATTATGTTTTTGAGTTAATATTTCCTCCTCTATAGAAAGTTATATATATTTCTCACACTTTTATATCTTCTAAACTTTGTATCAATTCTAACTCTACATTTTTCATATTTTGAAACTAAAAGGATGTCATTATTCTTAGAGTCCCATCTTTAATAAATTTTCTATTTTTTATTGCACATTATTAGCTTTAAATTTTTTGCACATTTCTAAAGAATTTCCCACACTTTCATAGGCTCATTTTTTTTTTTAAGATTTGTACTTCCCTTAAACAAGATTATCTATTCCCTAATGGACTAGTAGAGAAGGAGAACGTAAGTATGTATAACATGCATGTACCCAGCTGCATGAAATACACAAAACCTAATAGCAGAAGCTAAGTAAAATGATTAAAGGTATTACAAATTAAATTACGCTCATGGAATCCACCAAATGCCATTCAGCTTTATAGCTATAATTTATGGTGTTATTGGTTAATTAATATGAATTAGTGAATATTCGTGAATACGAGTTGATAAATATGTACTATCACAGAGTTTGAAGTGTCGAGTATGATTAGATTTTTCTAATTCTACACAGGGAAAATAATTTTAATAAGGCTAAAATAATGTGTCATAAAAGAATTGATAAATGAGACTATATCATATTTAATTAGTTGTTCAATTAAAAAAACACATAAGTAGTATAACGAAAAAAAGGGGAGCACAGACAGGAAAACATTTTAGCATAATTATTTGTCAGAAAAACCATAATCTAAAATAGATAAGAAACATCTATTAAAGTACAAGAAAATGGAGAAACGGCCAGGTATAAGCATCAACCATGAATACGCATGCTATAATTTATAGGTGTTTATTATTTTAGATTATAATTTTTTGACAAATAGTTATGCTAAAACAGTTTACAGAAAAGAAAATACCAATGTCTTGTGACTATAAGAAAAACTTACAAATTTAAAAATGGGGCATGTAAATTGAAATTGAAATAATATTCTATATCCAATAGATTCAAAGAAGTTTTATAATGTTGCACAGTGTCAAATGTTTACATTTTTGTGATTTAAAAAAATCTGTTGATCACGAGGTCAGGAGATTGAGACCATCCTGGTTAACACGATGAAACCCCGTCTCTACTAAAAATACAAAAAAAAAAAAAAAAAAAAAAAATTAGCCTGGCTTGCTGGCAGGCTCCTGTAGTCCCAGCTACTCTACTCGGGAGGCTGAGGCAGGAGAATGGCGTGAACCCGGGAGGCGGAGCTTGCAGTGAGCTGAGATTGCACCACTGCACTCCAGCCTGGGCGACAGAGTGAGACTCTGATTCAAAAAAATAAATAAATAAATTCTGCTGCTTATCCCTGGACAAATGTACATCAAATGTACATTGATTGGTAGACTCACTTTTAAAAACATTTAATCTTTCATAGCAAATTTGAATATGAACAAACTATGACCCGTAAGTTCCTGTTCCCTGTAACATCATATAAAAGCATACTCAGGAGATACGCACAATGATATTAATAGTATAATATTTGCATAAGTCAGGCATTGACTATATCTATAGTACAAAGGAGACACATTGTCTTATATATGTGCAATGGATTACTATATTTACAAAAAAAAAAAAAATACACGCACAGGCTTCAATGTGAATAATTCTGTAAATCATACTAAGCATACTTCCAGAAAAGATACACATAATACAATCCATTTATATGAAGTATAAGAATTATAAAAATTTAAAAAAATTAATTAAAAGCAATAAAATGTTTAACATAAAATTCAGAATATTTGATTTTGGAAGAGAGAAAGGAAGAATTAGTCATGTTGAGGAGACAGTTTCTAAATTATATTTAATATTTTATTCCTTATTTGGCTGTTGGATTCAATTTCTTTACTTTTACTTATGCCATATATAATTACAGATATCATTTTATTAACATATGTTACTGATATATACACATCTACATGTTAAAGAATGTTACTAAAATCAGTGCATATACACACCTAAGTTATGCAAGAATACATGTGTATTTAAATATATGTTAAAAATATCAGAATAAAGGCAAAACTGCATACGTTCCTCAAAAGAAATTTCTTCTTTTGAAAGAAATTATACATTCTATCACAATTTAGAAATTACAGAATTTCACACTGTCATGAGTTAACAATTTAAAGACCTTGAAGTATATTTTAAACCAGTTCCAGAAAAGAAACTCCTTTTTGGCTGAATACCACTATATAATTTGATAAGGTTAAAAAAGGCTAGTCATACTTTATTTAAAAATAAATTAGGCCAGTCTGAATTTATTAATGATAGATGGTCTGTCAGTAATATTTTTAGTCCAAAATCCATTTTGTTGCTTAGGAAACCTGGTTAACTTAGGAAAGTAGTTAAATAAGTAATAAAGTTTATGTAATCATGGACTAGAAAATGAGAAATGGAAAAAAAAAAGGATCTATCGGCAAGTAATACACAATGGATTATAGCAATGTAGATAAGCAAGAAAACAACTTTATATTAAAAATAGGAACTAGAAGATACATTGAAAAAATTATCAGAGCAGAAAAGAAATTTCTAATCAGCATGTAATTTAGTCTTTTACTGCTTTCATGAAACTCACATATTTTGATAACATTGCTAATTGATAAGCATAAAATAGAGGACAGAAACTTCTATATGGTATTTCATCTCATTCTTATACAGGAAACGTGAGATTATAGGATTTTTATGCACATTACATTCAAATTTTCTCCTGAAAGAGCTAATAAAAATGTTATAGGTTGTAGAAATTAATTTATGGATGGTTCTGAAGGCAGAAAAGCTCTAAATTAACCTTGCTTGAAGGAGAACTTGATGTTCTTATTCGTTAAGACTTCCAGCTGTGTTCAAGTAGAGTATGGTAGATACTCTTCTACTTTGAGATGAGGACAAACAGTGCAAGCCTCCTTTTCAAAGTTATTTATTCATTACTCTATTTCTCAAAGCAAAGGAACTCAGTAATTGCTAACCAATGATACTCAGAAATTTTGATCAGTAGGCTACATTTATAGCATGTTCCTTGTAAATCTGTAACAGTTTAGTATATATGAAATCAGCATAGCAGTCAAAGATGTAATGCATGGAAGCTTTTTATTTTATTTTTGTAATTTAATTTTTTTTCTTGGTGGATCAGGCTAACAATCTATTCTACCAAGGAATGTGTTTGTCAAAAGGATGTCACCATCAAAATATAGTGTTTTATATAATAAAAATTGAAATGGATTTCCAAATTTGGGTTTCTATCATGTAGCATAATGAAACGCAGGCTTCAGTTTAAAGTATTTCCTCTGTTTGTGGTAAGAAAAAATAAAAGAAAATATTCTAGACTTTGGTTAAGAAAGCGGTGGAAATTTGCAAAAGGTTTACTCTTTCTCCATGGAAAAACTTTATCTTATTCCCCAATTCTTTAATTGATTCAACCTATTTATATATAACTTAGAGCCTTATGTGCCAATTGTTGTGCCATTCACCGAATATAAAGCAGTCCAGAATACACACACAGTTCCTATCACCCAAAGTGTATACTGTAGTTGGTATGCCACTGGGAAACATAATTTAAAAATTGTCTCATTTAGGGAATAAATTTTTTAAAAATTCTGACTTCAAGACTATAAAAGAAACATGCGCTCCATAGGAAATTTCTAGAGCTGATAGGTAATTTCACCATGGTTACAACAAAAAAGTAAGCAAGCAATATTCGGTGACAAATTGAGACATAGCGTATGAGCAAAATTAATAGAAAATAGAGTAAAACTTAAGATTGAAATAATAAAGTATTTTTGAGGAGGTAACTTTAAAATTGATTCTTAAAAGATGAAAAGAGCAATGGAGAAACCTAGGGAAATATCTTACAAAAATAATCTTGTTTGAAGTCTTTAAAACACCGAGGCAGTGGCTATGTTTAAGAAAATGAATAGGCTAACACGGTGAAACCCTGTCTCTCCTAAAAATACAAAAAAAAAAAAAAAAAAAATTAGTCGGGCGTGGTGGCAGGCACCTGCAGTCCCAGCTACTCGGGAGGCTGAGACCGGGTAATGGCGTGAACCCGGGAAGAGGAGCTTGCAGTGAGCCGAGATCGCGCTACTGCACTCCAACCATGGCTACAAAGCGAGACTCCGTCTCAATTAAAAAAAAAAAAAAAAAAAAAAAAAAAAAAAAAAAGAATAGTGGCCAGGTCAGATAGAATAAAATGGGCATGGGTAAGAACGTGAAATTTAAGTTATATAGATAAGTAGGCACTTGAACAGAAAGCAGCATTTAAATGAGTTTTAATTTTAATCTAAATACACAAGAAAGTAATTAAACACTTTTAACTAGAGTAACATGATCCTCTTGTTCAAAGATAGTTCTGTGTGCCATGCAGAAAATGGGTTAGAGAGACATAAGAAGAAGGTTGACAAGTTAGGAGAACTGCAATAAACAAGAATATATTTACGGACATATACAGGGTAAGTGGCAGCAGCAAGTGCAGAGAAGTTGATAGATATAACTACAAATTTATATCACCTCTAGAGATTATATGGAGACAAATGGAGAACAAAGAGCCAAACATAACCTCAAAATTTTGGCTTGGGCAACCAAACAACTATGGTACCATTTACACAGGGAAATTGAGGATGTTAAAAGGTTAAGTAAGAATAATAGCAAACCTTGGGTTTATATATTTATATAAATTTTATTTATATTTTATATAAATTTATATAATATATTAATATATATTATATAAATATATATATTTCATATATATATGAAATATGTGTTTAATGTTTTAACAACAGCAGTTTCTGTGGAACATTTCAGCAAAGGTTGGTAAATAAAAGTGATACAGATATACAGAGCTCTTATACTGCTCAAGAGAAACAGAGAAACAACTTAGTAGTTGTAGTATTTGGAGATAAAGGAAGTGTTTTTAGTTCATTTTTCTGCATTCTAGGTTAATATATGATGATGGTAATATGATACTGATGATTATAATGATGGTGATAGTGATGGTAAAGCAATTACTGTTATTACATAATTGATCACATATTGAGATTGCAGTTTTTAAGTTAAAAAAAACACTGCATATAAATATTTTCACCCATTCTGTAGGTTGTCCATTCATTCTGTTGCTTATTTTTTTGCTGTGCAGAAACTTTTTAGTTTAAGTCTCATTTGTCTATTTTTGGTTCTGTTGCATTGCTTTCAAAGTCTCTGTCATAAATTCTTTGCCTAGGTCAATATTTGGAAGAGTTTTTCCTACAAAGTACTAATATGCAGACTCTGCAAAGAACTCAACAAGAAAAAAAAATCTATTAAAAACTGGGCAAAGAACATGAACATTTTTCAAAAGAAGAAATACGATGGCCAACAAACACATGAAAAAATGCTTAAAATCCCTAATCATAAGCGAAATGCAAATTAAAACCACACTGAGCTATGATCTTACACCAGTTAGAATGGCTTTTATTAAAAAGTCAAAAAACAAATGTTGGTGTGGATGCAGAGAAACGGGAATGCTCATACACTGTTCATGAGAGTGTAAATTAGTTCAGCCTCTAGGGAAAACAGTATGGAGATATCTCAAAGATATCTCTACTAATAGAGCTACCATTAGACCCAGCAAACACAATACTGGGTATGTAGTAGAATAAGGGAAATAAGTCATTTCATTAAAAAGACATCTGCACTTGTATGTTTATTACAGCACTATTTAAAATAGCAAAGTCATGGAACCAACCTAAGTGTCCACCAGCAGTTGATCAGATACCCCAAGGAAACTATGAAGCCATAAAAAAAGAACAAAAAGATATCCTTTGCAGCAACACAGATGTATTTGGAGGCCATTATCCTAAGCGAACTAACACGGCAGCAGAAAATAATTACCGTGTGTTATCACTTCTAAGTCAGAGCTAAACAGATGATACACATGGACATAAATATGGAGAAAACAGACTCTAGGGACTCAAAAGAGGGGAAGTAGCAAAGATGTATGAGTTAAACACTAACCTTCTGGGTACAGAGTCCAATATTTGGTTCCTGAGTACACTAGTAGCCACAACCCCACTATTAAACATGTAATACACTGGTAACAAACAAGAACATGTATCCTTTGAATAAAATAAAAATTAAATTGAAAAAATAAAAACTATAAATACAAAAGAATGTTAAATACATGTAAAATTTTAGCAAAACATATGGATATAATTTCTGAATTAAAAAAACTCAATTGAAAACATTTGGTTTTTGTTATATTTAAAATTAATAAAAGTACATATAATATACATCACACCCTCATCTTCTCCATCTTGAGAGAATCCTGTTTTCCTTTTCCTCCACTACTTACCAGAAATTGTTCAAAAATTAAGGGAAATTGTATTTTAAAATATTGTAGGGCGATTTAGAAAATATAGCTTTTATATAGTTATCTGGCATCATTTTATAATTTAATTGCAAATCCCCATAGTTCAGTAATATTTAACATTTGAAATGTCAATGTCATTGGAGTTAAAAATATGTTCCATCTATGGAAGACTATTAAGTGAAAATGTGGTCCATAGGAAATCACCAGTGCTGATAGGTAATTTCACCATAATTATAATTGTTTTTCTTATTTATCTAATATGATGTTTACTTGAAAAAAATAGTTGGCAGAATGTGTATCTTCTATAAAGCAGAGAACTGAATCTTTTGTTTCAAGGAACAATTTGTCTAAATGCGACACCATCTGTTCACACTGAATGAAATATATTCTGGCAAATCAGGGCAACCTTTGAATCATTACATTGTGCATTAACATAGCAGTAGGTTCAAGTTCAAGATCCAAAAACAGTGATGTGTGTGCAATTTCATTATTACTCTGAGACATGAGTCTACACTGAATCCGTCTCTGCCTTTTTGTGAAGTCTCATTGTTACTATCTGTGAGTCTTGTTAAACATTAAATAGCAAGACTGAATTAGCATCATGGTCACATATTGAAACTTTCTTCACACGTTTGGCTATTATTTATTGTAGAGCTTTCTCTTTTTTTGGTTGGTTTTTTGTTTTGTTTTTCTAGTCTACCTATGAGTATGCTAAGGAATATAAAATAGAACTATAAATACTTAAAGTAGGATATTGACCAAGGAAGCCTTAACGTTTTCTCCAGCTTCCTGAATATAGACTTCTGATATCCATTTTCTCAGAGCATTTAATTTTGAAAACTTTCAACTGTAAATTCTTTCTCTGCCACTTTGAGATGTAAATCGTCTGCCAACCTCTTACTGGTTTTACAATGAAGAATATCTTTCTTATGAACCAAGAAGCCATTCTTTTGAAATGTAATCAAGTAAGAAAATGCCCATAATTCTCAGTTCTTGTGAGAGCTTAGGAACCTAACTTACAGTAGCACCAATGAGGGAACACAGATGACCTACTGAGTTTAACTAAACTCCATGCATAACCCTTCACTCTAGCCCTTCAAAATTCTCCCTCCTTTTGTTTTTCTGGCATTGAGTTCAATCTCTCTCCCCCACAAGTAGTCTAGACCCCTACTGTGATGTCTTGAATAAAGTCTTCCTTAATGCTACATAGTGAACTTTTCTGAAAAAATCAATAATCCATATCATCTATGACATTATTGTTAGGAAACCCACTATTTCAGTCAATACACATTCCTTCTACATCCCAAAATACCTAAAGTGGTACTTTGTCAAATTTATCTTATTAGGGGATTGGGGGGTATAAGGTAAAGAAAACTTATACTATTCTTAAGGGCAGGTAGTATACTTGTAGTGTATTTATGTTTAACTTTTATGAAAAATGTTTTCTAGCTATAAATATATCTGGGATGTTAATATTTAATGCATAAAATATGAATAAATGAAGCACTAAATAAGTGATAAATTACAGAAGATTATTTAATTCAATGCAGTTATGCACCATAGCTATAGGACTTAGCTATACTTTTTAACTAACTACACGTAACACTTTGTGACACTCTTTACTCTTTTTTACTAGCACTCTCCCTACCTTTCAAACTCTCACCTATAAGTTCTTACGGCAATGTTGACACTACCAGACTTCAAGGGTCTTGAAGGCCATAATTATAATTATGTTTCTGTAACTCCTTTGGTAAGCAGATATTTAATAGATAAATTGTTATTATATTGTACAATTAGTTCCTGATACAAATGTATTTATCTTCTTTGCCTGTATCGCATTTTTATAGTAAACTATGGTTTATGTTACCTAGTACTGAATCACACAGATTATCAACAAAAATTAAATATATATTATATATTATATATGTTGTAAAATATATATTATATGTTGTAAAATATATAGTATATGTTGTAAAATATATAGTATATGTTGTAAAATATGTATGTTGTAAAATATGTTGTAATATATATGTTGTTATATATAGCATGTTATAAAATATATATGTTGTAACATATATTATAAATATATATTATATATTATAAAAATATATACTATGTTATAAAATATACATTATACATTATAAAATATATATTATACCTTTATGAAATATATATTATGAAATAGATATATTTATGCTATATATATATATCAAGGGATAGAAGTTATTCTTTGGAATTCTAAAGTAGCAAGTCACATATTAAAAAAATACCTCAAGACTATATTCAATAAGAAGTACAATAGCTAATCTTAATGTAGTGTGTGATACCTGCCAGACATTCTTATAAGTGCTGTATATTAACTTATTTAAACTCCACAACAAACCTACGAAATGTTTCTATAATATAGAGGAATGAACTAAAGCCTGAGTCTTGAAATAATTTCTCCAATTTCATATAGTTCGAAAGCGAAAGAGCCAGGACTTGAATTAAGATTCTCTCATTTAAAGTCACTAATTTTGGATTATAGTATTGAACATTTAAGTATTTAAAACTACTTCTCGGCTGGGCACAGTGGCTCACGTCTGTAATCCCAGCACTTTGGGAAGCCGATGTGGGCAGACTACCTGATGTCAGGAGTTCAAGACCAGCGTGGCCAACATGGTGAAACCCTGTCTCTACTAAAAAAAAAAAAAAAAAAAAAATTAGCTGGGCATGGTTGTGTGTGCCTGTAATCCCAGCTACTAGGGAGGCTGATATGGAAGAATCCTCTGAGCCCTGTAGGTGGAGTTTGCAGTGAGCTGAGATTGCACCACTGCACTCCAGCCTGGGCAACATAGCTACATTCTGCTGTCTCAAAAACAAAACAAACAAAACTTCTCAAGGAATTTAAATAATTTACACTAAACTTAAAGCCAGTGTAAATAACAAAAGAAATCTATCCTTAGGTAGTGATATGGTTAGACTTTGTGTCCCCACAGGAATCTCATCTTGAATTGTAATCCTCATAATCCCTATAATCTCCATATGTCAAGGGAGACCAGGTGGAGATAATTGAATCATGGGGATGGTTCCCCTCATGGTGTTATTGTGAGTGAGTTCTCATAAGATCTGATGGTTTTATAAGGGGCTCTTCCCGCTTTGCTCAGCACTTCTTCCTGCTGCCTTGTGAAGAATGTCCTTGCTTACCCTTTGCCTTCTGCCATGATTGGCAGTTTCCTGAGCCTTCCCCAGCCATGCTGAACTGTGATTCAATTAAACCTCTTTTCTTTATAGGTTACTCAGTCTCGGGCAGTTCTTTATAGCAATATGAACACAGACTAATACAGGTAGGAAAGCAGTAAAGGATGCTAGCTCAACAAATACAGTACAAAATGATGACCCTGCAAGGGTCATTCAAAATATCCCCCTATTAAGAAAAATCACAGCTACTCATCACAAATGCACAGTGAACAACTCGTCCAAAGGTCACTGACCACCCTAATGTTGTTGGAGTGAGTATGGGAGATAGAGGACCAAGAATGAACAAACAACTCAGAAGCCATTTTGCTTTTGTGGTTCAAAAATATTCAATTGGCTGAATTGGGAAAACACATCACAATCCCAGCTACAAAACTGACTTCTCTCTCATACCTTGACAGTAACACAAAAAGATATGCCAACAGGTGTTTCTTACAAGAAGGCCTGCAAATAAGAGCTTTTGCCTCCAAACAGCAGCTTCACCAAAAGCAAGAAAGCGAGGGAGATCAAAAACAAAAACATAAAAAACCCTGCACATAAATGAAGTTTTCCTGCTGGAAAACATCAGACTCCTGATCGCTGGACTGTTAAAGAAATTTACATCAAATTATAACCAAGCTTAAGATCTAAAAGGATGATTCTAACAGCGGCCTGACTGATGATGAAACGCATATCGAAACTTCCTTATGGGCAAAATGCAGGTCTACGGTCAAGTTGAAAAAATAGAAAGTAAAAACAATCACATTAGAAACAATATAAAGTAAAAACAATGATACATGGGATGAAAATTCCAAGTGAAATGATAGACTGAATGTCAGATATTTTAGAACTTATGCATATTCTTAAATTTTGAATGCAGCAATCATAACTTTCACAAAATTATTCTGAAATCTATACTTCAGTATGCTAAGAAACATATGCTTTCAGTGTATTTCTATGTGCTTTCCTTTAAGAATAATTTTCAACAGATAAGAATATTAAGTAGTGAGCCTACTCCCTGTGTATTTTGTACTTACGTTCACCTAAAAACTGGCATGTTTACCTATTTTATAAAAAGCTTATTAAAATGTCACATTAATAACACTTGTGTGGTAGTATCTGCGTTGAGCAGCTATTGTAAATAAATATCCTACTTAGGTTACATCAACAGAATTTTCATGGCAAGACTGCTAGAGAGCCACAAGGGTAAAATCACTTATTTCATCCTCACTTTTCCTGGGGAATATCATAATAATAACCTGAGTTGCATTTTTTTAGATTTATAAGTATCTCAGTGCTCTCTGAAAATGACACTGTGATCATTTTTACTACCACATTGTTTAAAGCAAGTTTTCTAAGTTTCCACTTGTCTACAATACTGGTTTATCTTATAATGGTTGTAGTAATTTAATGTAAAAATTTATCATTTACTTGTTATATTTTAATGCATTTAATATTGACGAAAGAGATTAAAGAATGGTTATAATACTGATTTTTAAAATACTTTGCACAAAGGAATTCAAAAGCAATTCCAAAAATATAGACAATAAATTATGTAGTGCTAGTCTCATGCAGAGATAAATGCAGTGTAAAGTCAAAATATGACTACTTTAAAGATCAACATTATTTTGGTAGTATAAATTCTCTAGTGGTAGTGAAAACTTTTCATGACTTCAAAGTTCTTTTTATTTTCAATGGAAACTCTTTAATCAATTATAACAAGAGAAAACATTATAAAAATTACAGTTAATACAAAAGTTAACATAACTGTATAACTAACATTGAAATTTAGAAATAGAACATCACTAGTAACCTGTAATTGCTTCTTGTGCTCTACTCCAATCATCAAACCCCTATTTTGAACTCAAAACACTTTAAATTTTGCCTTTGCTTCAACTTAATGTAAATTGAGCTGTAATGTATGTAATATTTATATCTGGCTGACTTTGCTCAAAGTTAGTTTTGAGAAATTCTTCAAAGTAATTGTCTAGTTTTTATTCACTTATGCCTATTGCTTGATTGTATGCATTATATACTCTACCAGTTCTAGAGTAAATAAGCATAGTGTGTTGTTTCAAATTTTTGAATATTGTGAATAGAACTATTTTGAACATCTTGTATGCACCATTTATTGAATACATGTGTTAGATGTATAGCACAGGGTGAGTTTCCGGATCAAAATGAATCTACTTTATAAGATACTGCCAAATAATTTTTAATGTGAATGTGCCAATTTATGTCAGTTGCTCCAAATGCATAACAGTACTTGTTATTTTCTGTTTTTTTTTCTTTATGCTCATTATGGTGGGTGTGCAGTGATAGCATCTTGTGGTTTCAATTTGCATTTTTTTTAGTGAGAATGCAATTGACAGGTTTTCATATGTTTATTGACCATTTTAAAACCGTGTTTTATGAAGTTCATATTAAAACTTTTGGTCTATTTCCTGGTTAGCTTGACTGCTTCTTTCTAATTGATTCCTTTTCAAAGATGTCAGTGTTCTGTGCTATTTTCAAGTCCTTGTCAGCTAATTTCAAAGCAATCACTGCAGATCTGAGTTCACAGTGCTTTTCTCTTTATTTTGGTCATAATAGTTTGGATGTGCTTAATAATTTTGTTCTAATGATAAATAGTGTGTTTTTTAAAGTCTCCAAATGATGTTACATTCCTGAGAGATGATATATCCTTCCCTCTGCTGGGTAAGGAGTGTATTAGTCCATTCTCACATAACTAATAAATACCCTAGACTGGGTAATTTATAAAGGAAAGAGATTTAATAGACTCACAGTTCTACATGGCTGAGGAGGCCTCACAATCACGGCGGCAGGCAAAAGAGCTTGTGTAGGGGAACTCCCATTTATAAAACCATCAGATCTCGTGAGACTTATTCACTACCACGAGAGCATTACAGGAGAAACCACCTCCATGATTCAATTATGTTCACCTGACCCTGCCTTTGACAGGTGAAGATTATGACAATCAAGGTGAGCTTTTGGTCAGGACACAGCCAAACCATATCAGGAAAATGAAAGTTAATCACCTTAATCTAAATAGGGACTGTGCTCAGTCAATGCAGATTGAAGACCCAGGAAATTGTCTACATTTGATTTCTACTTTCATCACCTATTTTTTAAACACTGGGTATAGTGTCTAGGCAGAGCTCCTCCCCAGTCAGTCCCTAATTCTAAAATATCTCTGTTTTAGAGTTCTCTCAGTATTTTCACAAAATTGAGAGAATCCTGCGTAATTTTATATTGCTGACCTGTAAAATTTCAGAATGGCGTATAGCCGGCATGCTGGTTCTCAAGTTCCCACCAAAACTTGCTCTTCATTGCCGCTAGTTCTGTAATACAAAAGCCCAGTTCTGAAACATGTATTCTTGCTCAAAGTTAACACATCCTCCAGAAGAAAAGTGAATGCAGATAGATGTCAGCTCTCCTCTCTGAAGTTCTTTCATCTCTGGAATTTCAGCTCCTTCAGCTCTCATTGCCACTGCAGATCTCTGATACCTTCAAAGAGATAATTTCTCTATTTGATTAATGTTCTAGTTTTCTTTGGTTGTAATGCTGACGTAATGCAAACGACTCTATTTTACAGAGAAGAAGAAACTCTTAACCACAATGCAATTTTTAGAGTTGCATTTTATGTATATAGTGTATACATATACATACACACCATGGAATGCTACTCAGCCATAAAAAGGAATAAAATGATGGTATTTGCAGAAAACTGAATGAAATTAGAGAGCATTATTCTAAGTGAAGTAACTCAGGAATGGAAACTAAAATGTAAGTGAGAAATAGTATGTTCTCACTTACAAGTGGTAGCTAAGTTATGACGATGCAAAGGCATAAGAATGATACAATGAAATTTGGAGACTTGTAGGGAACGGTGAGGGGATAAAAGACTACAGATTTGGTGCAGCATACACTGCTCAGGTGATGGGTGCACCAAAATCTCAGAAATCACCACTAAAAACTTATTCATGTAACAAAACACCACCCATTTCCCAAAAACGCATTGAAATAAAAAAGAGTACCTCTACCTCTACCTCTACCTCTACCTCCACCTCCACCTCCACCTCCACCTCCACCTCTACCTCTCCCTCTCCACGGTCTCCCTCTCCCTCTCCCTCTCCACGGTCTCCCTCTCCCTCTCCCTCTCCACGGTCTCCCTCTCCCTCTCCCTCTCCCTCTCCCTCTCCCTCTCTCTCCACGGTCTCCCTCTGATGCCGAGCCGAGGCTGGACTGTGCTGCCGCCACCTCGGCTCACTGCAACCTCCCTACTTGATTCTCCTGCCTCAGCCTGCCGAGTGCCTGGGATTGCAGGCGCGCGCCGCCACGCCTGACTGGTTTTTGTATTTTTTGGTGGAGACGGGGTTTCGCCGTGTTGGCCGGACTGGTCTCTGGCTCCTGACCGCCAGTGATCTGCCCGCCTTGGTCTCCTGAGGTGCCGGGATTGCAGACAGAGTCTCGCTCACTCAGTGCTCAATGTCGCCCAGGCTGGAGTGCAGTGGCGTGATCTCCGCTCGCTACAACCTCCACCTCCCAGCCGCCTGCCTTGGCCTCCCAAAGTGCCAAGATTGCAGCCTCTGCCCGGCCGCCACCCCGTCTGGGAAGTGAGGAGCGTCTCTGCCTGGCCGCCCATCGTCAGGGATGTGAGGAGCCCCTCTGCCCGGCCGCCCAGTCTGGGAAGTGAGGAGCGCCTCTTCCCGGCCGCCCCGTCTGGCATGTGAGGAGCGCCTCTGCCCAGCCGCGACCCCGTCTGGGAACTGAGGAGTGTCTCTGCCCAACCGCCACCCCGTCTAGGAGGTGAGGAAGGTCTCTGCCCGGCCGCCCCGTCTGAGAAGTGAGGAGCCCCTCTGCCCGGGAGTCGCCCCATCTGGGAAGTGAGGAGCATCTCCGCCCGGCCAGCCGCCGCGTCCGGGAGGGAGGTGGGGGGCAGCCCCTGCCCGGCCGCCCCATCTGGGAAGTGAGGAGCCCCTCTGCCCCGCCGCCACCCCGTCTGGGAGGTGTACCCAACAGCTGATTGAGAACGGGCCATGATGATGATGGCGGTTTTGTCGAATAGAAAAGGTGGGAAATGTGGGGAAAAGAAAGAGAAATCAGATTGTTACCGGTGTCTGTGTAGAAAGAAGTAGACATAGGAGACTCCATTTTGTTCTGTACTAAGAAAAATTCTTCTGCCTTGGGATGCTGTTAATCTATAACCTTACCCCCAACTCCGTGCTCTCTGAAACATGTGCTGTGTCCACTCAGGGTTAAATGGATTAAGGGCGGTGCAAGATGTGCTTTGTTAAGCAGATGCTTGAAGGCAGCATGCTCCTTAAGAGTCATCACCACTCCCTAATCTCAAGTACCCAGGGACACAAACACAGTGGAAGGCCTCAGGGTCCTCTGCCTAGGAAAACCAGAGACCCTTGTTCACATGTTTATCTGCTGACCTCCCTTTCACTATTGTCCTATGACCCTGCCAAATCCCCCTCTCCGAGAAACACCCAAGAATGATCAATAAATACTAAAATAAATAAATAAATAAATAAATAAATAAATAAATAAGAGTGTATTTATATATGTGTGTCTATTTATGTGTTAATATCAAAAGATAGAGAATAAAAGTGTCTTTAATTAACATTACATTTAAACCTAAAATTTGGAGTTTGAAACCTTAAAGAGGAGAAACGTGAACATATGTGTAGCACAGAGGCTCTAGATAGAGTTCCTCCATGTGCAAATTTTAAATAGCCTGTAATCTACATTTAATATATATCTATTATGTGGCATGCACTTATATATATTCTACTTGACATTTCCAATAGGAAAATAGATATTCTATTCTATTCTACTCTTTCATAATCTCATCAGACAATTGCTATTTCTGGGAACAGATCTAAATTGGAAGAAAAAAAGAGGAAGAAAATTAGTTGGTTTATCTTAGCTAAGGGAGATAGAGGAAGTAATGAAGTAGAAACAAAGTTCAAATCCTGAATGCAGACTGAAAATAGAAATGTGCATATGTAGAAGTAGAAGAGAGAAGGAAAAGCAAATAAACCTGTGGAATAAGAAAATAGATTTAGCTAAATGAAAAAAAAAAGGAAAGAAAAAAACCAGCCTTGTTCAATTAATTGAGTCTTTTGAATTTTTAAATAATAGTTATGAAGTTATAAGCATTGATTTTCATGTTGACTTGAACCTGACGATGAACAAGTATATTGTGATTTTTTTCACTCTACAATTTTAAAGTTTAATTTAACCTTTGCTAATAGTTTATTGCCTTTTTAGTTTTACTAATAGAATTCTCTGACTTTCCTAGTCTTATTTTTCAAAAATTATAGCATTCTCAGATTTTGTGTGCTACTCATCTCTTCTGTTGATTATTAATAAATATATTATTGAATACTGCCTATAAATTATTTTCCACTGCAGGGCAAGTAAAACAAAACAAGTATGCCCTACTTTATCTTATAAATTGCAGTCTATACAATCTTACAATGTTGTGACTTCCCACAATGTCAACAATTAATTTTGTTAGTTTCCCTGGATGAGTAGTACACATGTATTTATAGCAAGCTTTAGGCTATAAGAGTTAGAAACAAAATGGCTTGTTCTTCCTAATCAAATTCTGTTAGGCAAATGTTAAAGCATATTAACGTATCTTTACAATCCATCAAATATTTCCTTTTTCTTGTTAGAATACACATCAGGGAGTAAACTTAGCCTAATATGTATTTGAAAGAAGGTCTATTCAGCATTGACTGTTTTAGTTCATCTAACTTACATATTAAAATGTTTAATGTATATCTCTACAGATGTAATGTACTTAAATTGAAGTTAGAACATTTTATATTATGAAATTACACATTTGAAACATAAACAAAGGATGCTTGTTTTTAGTAATCTTACTAATATTTTTAAAACCCTGATATAAAATCAATTATTTACCATTATTGTGCATTATTTGGTGTTGATAATAGAACATGTATTAGTCTTTTCAAGCTTCTGTAAGAAAATGCCTTAGACTAGATAATTTATAAGCAACAAAAATTTATTGCTCACAGTTATGAAGGTTGGAAAGTCCAAGTTCAAGGTGACAGCAGATCCAGCAGTAAATGAGGGTCTACCCTCCATTTTAAAGATGGTGCCTCATTGCTGTGTCCTCTCATGGTGGAAGCAACAAACAAGCTCTCTCCAACATCTTTTATAAGGACACTGATTCCATTACCTTATCCCTTATCCCTCCCACATCCCTTATCTCCCAGTATGATGGAACTGGAGATTAAGTTTCAGTACCTGTATTTTTAGAAGGCACAACCATTTAGATCATAGCATAACATGTAAAAAATATTCACACTATATTTTACAGTGAAAACACTCATATGCACACATGAACAAAGTAACTACATGATTTTGCTAATATTTTCATGAGAAGATCAATTGTGAAAAGTTGTAGATATACCATTTCAGAGTCAATATCTTCACTTTTTTTATTTACAAACACTATAGAATACATTTAATAAATAGAACACAGTTTCTAGACCTAAGAAGTCCAAAAGTGGGAGTGAAGTTGGGAACAAGTGGTGGGGGCAAACCTGGAACATCCTTTCCTCCACCACTACACTGATTCAGCAATGAACACAGAAATGTTTTCCTAAGAAATCCTGAAGATAATTGAAAGGCTCTTTCCCCAGCTGAACAGGACCAGATTTATCAAAGCCAGTGGGGAGACTACGAACACCCTTTCACTGGAATCACTGTCCCAAGCATAGAATCATAAAATTGGAAAGACATCCCCTCATTCCCAGCTTCTCTCAGGGGAGGGAAAGAGTTGGTCCATACATCCAATGCCATAGATTCTTGCAGGAAGCTTCCTGGAGGACTGGCTTTTGTTTTGTGAGGCTTGGAATGCTGATGAGACCAGCACAGTCAAGCCACATTGAAGAAAAAATAGATGGTGGCTTGTGCTGGCAGTCACCATAGCTCTTCCTCCCAGCTCAGCACAGAGTAAATGGAAGAATATTCCTAGCTTCCAGCTTCTCCCCTGGGGAGGAGAGTAGGTCCATGTGTCCAATGCCCCAGCTCCTCCAGAGGGACCCAAAGAACTGGCTTATATCCTGCCTATCAAAGAGTACTGATGAATCTGGCATTAACTAGCTGCCTGGGGTAGAACAGAAATGAGGTGTGAGCTATCATTCACCACAACTTCTCCCCCTAGGATCAGCACAAAGAGAATAAAAAAAAAACCCAGCTCTCAGCTTCTCTCTGGGCAAGTGAAGAGTTGAATGGTGCATCCAATGATCCAAAATTTCTGGTAGCTGCCTAAGGAACTTGCTTTTATCTTACTATCCCATTGTACAGATAGGACCTAGCTTACCCTGTACACCTAGGGCCTGCAAAGAACAACGAAATGGGATTGGAGTAGGACAGAGATTTGAGAGGCCCTCAGAATCTCTGGCTGGGCTGATTGATAGGAGTCTTCACCTATACAAGACCAGTCCATCAAGATTGGGATATGTGGCTTCTTTGTCTAATGTAGAGACACCAACACAAAAAATCAATGAAGATGAAGAAATAGGCTAATATGCTTCGAGTAAAAAAGCAAGGTAAATCTCCTGACACCAACCCCAATGAAATGGAGATGTACAATTTACCTGGCAAAGAATTCAAATTAACAGTAATAAAGACGCTCAGTGATGTCAGGAAAACAATACATGAACAAATTCAGAATTTCAACAAAGAGATAGAAAACATTTTTTTTAAAGGAACAAGCAGGGCCAGTGCGGTGGCTCAGACATGCAATACCATTGCTTTGGAAGACCACAGTAGGCTGGTCACTTGAGGCCAGACCAGCATTGCCAACATCGAGTTCAAGATCAGCCTGGCTATAATAGTGAAACCCAGTATCTACTAAAAATACAAAAATTACCTGGGCTTGGTGGTGCACATCTGTGATTCCATGTACTCAGGAGGCTGAGGCAGGAGAATTGCTTGAAACCAGGAGGCAAAGCTCACAGTGAACTGAGATCTTGTCACTGAATTTCAGCCTGGGTACCAGAGTGATACTCTGTCTCCAAACAATAATAATAATAATAATAAACAAATAAAGGAGCAAACAAATAATAGAGGTGAAGAATACAATAAATGAACTACAAAAATCACCTGAAAGATTCAAGAGCAGATTATATCAAGCAAATAAAGGATCAGTGAACACAAAGCTAGGTCATTTGAAATTATTCGGTCAAAAGAGCAACAGGTAAAAAAAAAATTAAAAAGAAGAAAACTTAAGTAACTTATGGGGCATGATCAAGTTAACATTATAGGATTTTCAGGAGAAGGAAGCAAGAAAGAAACAGACAGATAATTTAAATAAATAATGACTGAAAACTTCCCAAATCTGGAGAAGAAAATAGACATCTAGACCTAAAAATTGCAAAATCAAATGAACCCAAATAAATGCACATAAAGATACATTATAATCAAATTGTCAAAAGTCAAAAGATGAATTTTAAAGCAGCAAGAAAGAAATGATTTGTCATGCACCAAGTAATCTCTGTAAGACTATCAACAGATTTCTCAGAAAGAATATTTCACACTAGAAAGGAATAGATTATGTATTTGAAGTGCTGACAGAAAACGTAAAACTGCTAATCAATAATACTATATCAGGCAAAACTGTCTTTTGAAAATGAAGGAGAGAAAAAGTATTTGCCAGACAAACAAAAGTGAAGAAAGTTGATTATCACTAGACATGCCTTACAAGAAATACTAAAGGGATTTTTTCATGTTAAAATGAAAGGATGATATACGGCAAGGTGGTAGCATAAAATATTTTCTATATATTTACTTTTTAAATGAGTATCGTATTTCTTACTAATATTCATTAGTAAAGACAAATGTATAGGTTCTGTATATAGAATAATATAATGGTAAATTACTTTTAATCATTGTACAAAAGTTAAAAGACAAATTTTTTTAAAACTTTAACAATAAATATGATACTACATATACAAAATAAATAGATGGAAACTACAAAAATAGTGTAAAGTAGGGTGAGGAAGATAAGTAAGACTGTCTTCGGTATGTGATGAATCTTAAGTTGTTATCAGCTTAAAATAGGCTTTTATAAATATATTTTGAGTTTCATGATAACGAGAAATAAAATATGTATAGAAGATATACAAAATAAAAAAGAAAGACATCAAAGCATATCAGTATAAAACATCAGCCAATACAAAGGAAAACAGCAAGAAAGGAAAAGATGGCCAACTACAAGATTAACATAAAACTATTAACAAAATGGCAATAGTAAATCTTTCCTTATCAATAGTTACTTTAAATGTGAAGAGATTAAACTCCTCAATCGAAAGACAAAAAATAATGTCAGAATGAGAATATAAAAGAAAAAAAAACAACTATGTAATGTTGTCTACAAAAAAATCCTCTTAGGTTTAAAGATACTCATAGACTGAAAGCAAAGGGATTAAAAAAGACAGTCCATGCAAATGGTAACTAAAAAAAAGAGCAGAAGTGGCTATTACTGTATCAGACAAAATAGACTTTAAGTAAAAAGCTGTCACAAAAGACAAATAAGGAAGTATATAATGAAAAAAGGGCTGATTCACCAGGAACATGTAACAATTAAAAAATATATTTGGACCCAACATTATAACACCTAAGAATATAATACAAACATTGGCAGAACTAAAGGAAGAAATAAACAACAATATAATAGGAGACTCAAACACCACTTTCAACAGTGAAGAAAAACATTCTATTAAACACATGTACACCTACTCAGTGCACATCACACACATATTTGTTATTTAGTTTTATCCGGAAATGAGCTTAAAAGGAAATACCAAAAACAATATACCAATTATTGGGAGGTAAAAAGATAAAAAGCTATTGACATTTCTTTTTCCTTCTAGTTTTTTCCTTGACAAGAATGAAAAACTTCATTACCACCCTCATTAAATCATTAATGCACATTAAATTCCTGAAATGCACCAGCTTCTATGGAAAGCTTCTAACAACTTCTCCAAATGGAACTGGAGCACTGATCTTGTACATGACCAAGAGTTCTCTTTTGGGCCTATTTCTTCAATGTTAGCTCAGTCTCAGGTTGTAGGCTTATGAATATTATTTCAGTCTTCAATTTTAAAGATATGAAAGCTAAATAAGAGAAAATGTGCCTGTATTGCTTACCCATGTCTCTAAATCATTCATCCATGTTACAGGAAGCATAACAAGTTAACTAACTGTGCCAACATTTGCCACCTGATTTCACTTTCAGGATAAGTTTTCCTACTTCTTGTAAAACATGTCATATCACCATATCAGCTTATTCAAAGACATCTGTGAAGGGACTATACCATGTACTATGTTCTCTTTTTAAAATCTTTTTTTTTTTTTTTTTTTTTTTATGAGACGGAGTCTCACTCTGTCGCCCAGGCTGGAGTGCAGTGGCGCGATCTCGGCTCACTGCAAGCTCCGCCTCCCAGGTTCACGCCATTCTCTTGCCTCAGCCTCCCGAGTAGCTGGGACTACAGCTGCCTGCCACCACGCCCCGCTAATTTTTTGTATTTTTTAGTGGAGACGGGGTTTCACCGTGTTAGCCAGGATGGTCTCGATCTCCTGACCTCGTGATCCGCCCGCCTCGGCCTCCCAAAGTTCTGGGATTACAGGCGTGAGTCACCACGCCCAGCTAAAATCTTTCAATTATGGTTTTCTTTAGTGTCTCGTATAGCTAGAATATACTTGGCATTTTACAAACATTAGTTGTTCATTGCTCTCTTCTGACCAAATCAAAAAAATTATAGGGAATTGTAAAATAAATTTTGAGAAGTAAATTTATGTCAAGTAATCTATAAAACTGAGAACCAAAACTATTCAGACTTGATGCTATAGCAGGAAAAAGTCATCTTAGCATTTCTAAATACAGCATGCAAATAGGTATTATAAAGCCGCATATACAAAATCTTCTAGAAGTCAGTAAATTGGCAATGATATTGTTGAAGTCAATCAAGTGTGGATTAATGAGTGCCAGGTCTTGGTTGATGGAAATAAAAATAAAAGAGAATGTTTTACTCTGAGAGCCCTTTGGAAGTAAAAATAAATAGAAGTAATTGAATAACCTGTTAGAGTTAAAGATAACATCAACATTTTGAAGCCAGGAGCA
The DNA here is from genome assembly GCF_000001405.40 of Homo sapiens. Taxonomy (NCBI): domain Eukaryota; kingdom Metazoa; phylum Chordata; class Mammalia; order Primates; family Hominidae; genus Homo; species Homo sapiens. The sequence goes on from NC_000013.11 coordinate 87,569,083, forward strand.
AGAAGGAGATGAGTAATGTCAACACCAGAAATTGGAAAAGTAGTAAATTTTGAGAGCATCCTATAAAATTACTGTTAAAATTTCTGAGGTTGTGATGAAACATTCGAATAAAAATCTCCTAAAGATAGTTGTATGCATATAAGTGAATTAGACTTGGATGTTACAGATGTCGTGATTAAAATTATATGAAATATGGGGCACTAATTTATAATGGGAAATCTGAAATTCAGCTTCCTACGTTACCCAAAGTTAGAAAGCTTTTCACTGAAAAAGAGAGGGGAAAAAAAGAAGATTGGGGGAACCAATGATCTGTAAGAAGATAAAAGCAGAGCCAAGAGAGAAGACAATGAGAGAGTTTAAGGCAAAAAAAAAAAAAAAAAAAAAAAGAAAGAAAAAAGGAAGAAGATTCACCATCTAAATTCCATAACGGGGGAAGAAATAGAAGAATTAAAGGAATTATGGAGGATCCCTAATCAAAGGAGTTGTCTTTTAAAGAACAGTCATAACATCAAGGGCAGAATCCCCAGGTGTTAAAAGGAATCAGGAGAAAGAAAATAGACACAATTGCATAAAATGATTTCATAAAAAGTGATTGATGGTTAAATAGAAAAACAATATTTCAGAGAAAATAGCAGGATCAAATGTGTGCATTTTCTATGTTGCTTTCCACTTGGAATTCTTGAGGGTCTTATGAGTTGGGGAAAGCATATAATTATAGTTGTCATTAATTTCTCTATTTATAAAAGGTGGTTAAAATACCAGGATTCTCTACCTCATAGAATAATGGGAGAACATGATTATATAAATAAATGATAGAGAAAAGCCCTATAAAATATATAAAATGTTATATCCATGACTATCCACATTATTAATAACTAGTTACAATATAATTACCTCTTTTATTTTGGGGGATAAAATACAGCATTACTGCATTGCTCTCTTCATTAAGCATCATTAAAATGTAATAGAAAATGGAACCCAGATTGCTCTGGTGGACGTGTTCTTTGCTTGTGCAGTGTCTCTTTAAGGACCAGAGGCTCTGTAGCTACAGTCATGAGCTGCGTAATAACTGCTGTCAATGACAGACCACATTTATGACAGTGGTTTCATAAGCTTTTAATACTGTATTTTTACTGTATCTTTTCTATGTTTAGATATGTTTATACAAACAAATACCATTGTGTTCCAATTGCCTGCAATATTCAGAACAGTCACATGGTGTACAGGTTTGTAGCCTAGGAGCAATAGGCTGTACCTTGTAGCCCAGACATACAGTAGGCCATCTCATCTAGGTTTGTGTAACTATATGATATTGGCACAATGAAATAACCTAATGGCACAATGAAATAACCTAATGGCACAATGAAATAACCTAATGACACATTGCTCAGAACAGATATCCATCATTAAGTGAGACATGACTTTGTCTCCATCCTAAATATCATCAGTTCACACCTGAATTACTCCAAGTCCTCTAACTGATCTCCATGCTTTACTTCTTACTTCTCAGTCTATCTGAAATTTAGTCTCAACAGAGTGGCCAAAGTGATCCTTTCAAACTATAAGTTGGATTATGTCATTCCTTTGCTCAAAACCTTCCAAAGTCCTCATATTTCATTCGGAATAAAAGTCAAGACCACAAATGGTTTACAATTTCTGACCTCATCTCCTCACCCTCCAATTTTAACCACACTAGCCTTCCTGCACCTTCTCTAAAATGTCAGAGAGTTTCCTATATTAGCCCTGGCAGGGAATGCCACTCTCCTAGATAAATCTGCATGATAAGCCCCACATTCCACGTAAGGCTTGCTCTAGTATCACCTTCTCAGTGAGTACTACCCTAAGAACCATACTTAAAGTAGCAACCCCCAATACCCTAAATCTCAGCACTCCCAATCTCTTTTATTTTATTATACTCTATCATTTTTGGCTAAGTATGCATCACCTTCTAAAATATTATATAATGTACTTACTTATATGCTTATTATTCATACTTACTTTGTTTCTTTAGAATATAAGCTCCTTGAGAACAGAAATTTTTCTCTCCTTGTTGCTAATGTGTCTGTAGCAGAGTATTCTGGCTCATTGTTGGTATTCACTAAATATTGGTTCTTTGAACTGCTGGTGGAATATTTCCTACCAACTGCTTCTACCACTTTCCAGTGGTGAAAGTAGGGGAGAGAACTGGGTTCTCTTAAGAAAAGAGGACAGGAATTTATTACTCTTTAATTAATAATTCATGTGGTGGTATTTGTCATTTTTGTTGTTTTTATTTTTAGCATTCATTTGAACATGAATCATAAAGACAAGGTTTGATTCTGAAAGTAGATGTATATTCCAACATTTATAGAAAACCTCCTAGAAAATAAAGACAACCCAAAGATAGGAGTAAACTGAGAAGCTGAAGGAAAAGAGGAAAATGTAGGTATATAGTAATATATTTTTAATGTCGGAGTATAATTTTTCTGTAGTCCAATTCATCATCTTTTCAAACCACTAATATTAACCATTTTTTAACTCTCAACAAATTCATTCAGGTTTCAAGCAATTATATCCCCAAATCTTTTACTAACACTGTGGAAGTTCAATTGCTTTGTTGCTGTGGTTTTATCATAGCTGCTCTGATAGTTAGTCTTAATGTACTAGACAATTTACTTTGATACATAAATTAGTTACAAAAATCATGTCTAATTGATTCCATACGCCTGGTAAAATTTAAGATGGCCCTAATAGTTCATTAAAATAGTGTTATATGCTGTTTAGATATTTCAAACTCAAAATTTCTTCTTAATCTGGAACATGTGCAAACAGGTTTCTGATCTCATTTGCATATGTTTGAAAATCTATCAACTTTTCCTTAGTGTCTTCATTTAGAAAAAAAAAAAACAAACAGCTAACCTTCACTCATTTTATATCTAAATATGCCCATGACCAACTATTTCCTGTACTATGAAATCTGTGCTTTTTATCTTGACACTTATTCCTTTTAAATTCACATTTTGTTTGCTCTGAAGTAACATGAACGAATCTTAACTTCCCATTTTCTAAACTGTGCAGGAGCTTCTGAATTCATATTACCCTAAATCTCATGCTTGCCTTCTCATTTATCTCAGATTTGCTTTTAGCATCCAATCCATTTCATGACCCAGTTTAAAATGCCTATCTCTCTGAAATATGTAGAGAGATCTGCAATCTCAATTAATTTCACTCCTTACTGACCTGCCCCTTTGTCCTATGTTACAAGTATTTCTTGTAGGAGAACATTTTCCGTCACATCTACTAATTAATATAATTATCTTCTGTTTTATTAGCATTTGGGGTCCTTGAAACTCAGTACAATTTAGCTTTCAATGTATTTTACCAAAAATTATCCTCTATGCAACTGCGTTTATAGTTTGCTTCATAAATTAAGAACTCCTTAAAGTACAAATGTCCTGTAATTTACACATTGTTTGTAATATTAACTATTTGTTATTTTACATGTACATTCTATGACAATGTACACAATTCACTCTGAAATTCACTGTGTTAACAACAGAGGAGATGTCGGTATTAGCAGAGGTATTGTTTTTACGGCTTACGGATGTGATTTTGTCTTAGCATCTTTGATAGTTATAACTGCATTAGTCCACATGTCTCTAAATATCTTTGAGAGTTCTAGTTGTATTAGTTCACATATCTCTAAATATCTATTACTTCTTGTCATAGCTTTTGAGATGCATTGCTTTTTGTATATTTATTTTTTCATAATATATGTTCTAATTTATGAGATTGCTCTAAAGTAAAAAAGAAAATTAAGTAGTATAATTGTAAAATTATTACAAACATATGCATACATATTAATGCACTTTTATTAACTAAACATACTTTTTCTACTAAATGTAAACCCTAAGAGGACCTATTATTACTATGAACAGTAATGGATTAGGTATTCAGAGGTGTAGTTTTAATAAGAAAAACAAGACATCCAAGCCTCACCTGATGTCTTACCTGAAGGGATACCACTCAATAAGGATAAATGGGTGAGAAAAAGTGTGAGAAGTCCTTATAAGCTAACCTCTGCTACCCTAATCAATACTGTTGGCGAGGGTAAAACATTGTTTTGAGTCTGGAAGATCCTTTGAATAATTGAATATATAGGTATTATTAAAAAGGAGAAAATTGGGTGTTGAATGTTGAAACTTCATACTCCTTCTACCTTACACTCCTACCTCCCTATTCTTTCAAAACTCTAGAAGGTAGACGTAACTCTGAACAGGAGATTGGAGCCCTTTTCTGTGAAAAATTTGGTTTGTCAAGAAGAAAGACTCAAATATGCTGGAATGAGAAATCATCCAATAATCACCCACGCAGATCAGCCTGTAGTGAATTCCAAGTTCACTATACTTAATCCTAGGTTCAAAATTTGAGGTCAAGGTTTTGTTTTTTTTAAATGTTTTTACTCTTACATATAAACTGACAATAAAAAGTTATCAGATATCTAAAGAAATCTTCTAATCTGAATGACAAAGAACAAAATAAATAGAAAACAAGCCAATTAGTGGAAACAAATTATGCAGACATTAAAAACTATTTTAATGTCTTCAGAATTGTACAAAAAGATACAGCAACCCTGACATCACAATACATAAAATTAGAATTAAAATGAACTCATGGAATTTAAAAGATGATAATAAAAAGAACATGCAATAAAAGTTAATAATAAAGTTGATGAATTAAAAAAATTGAACACAAAGAAGATTTGAGATAAAGGTAATTAAATTAGAAGATTGCAGTATAAAATCCTCTTCCAAAAAAAGAGTTTACAGAGAAAATAGAGTGGAGAAAATTATAAGCAATTTTTTTAGAACCAAAGAATGACCATTTTCAGATTAAAAGATACCACTCTAAGTGATTACCACTTTCTATGAAAATAAATTCATACCAAGTTACATTCAAAAGCACATGTTTGTGGACTATCAGAGCACTATGAACAATGAGAAGAATCAAAATCTTCTAGAGAAAATATAGAAGATTAATATCAGATAAAAGATCAGCTCTCAGAATGGCTTGAAATTTCTCAATAGCATCTCTGGAAGCAACAAAAAAATGCAATGAGGCAATAGCTAAAAGACTCTGATGGAAAATAATTACCTACCTGAAAATGTTATACTCAGAAAATTAGGTATAACGGTAGAATACAAATATTTTCAGACATTTAAGATCGCCATACATTTTTCTCCCAAGGAACAGTTTTAAATATGTTATTGGAAGATGTGTACCTCAAGTAAGACAGTAAACCAAGAAAGAAACATAAATTACATAACCTGAAAAATAAAAAATAACAGAAAGATGAGTGAAATTCCCAAGAGGATGATGAATTGAGATACCAGGCTGAGCCTTCACACCAGACATGAAGATCAACCAGTTTGTACTGGAGAAGTGTGACCAAGAAGATAGTTAATTTGAAGACGAAGATGTGCAGTGCTGTTATATCATATTTTTACCCTGAGGACCAAATCACCAGGACAGCCAGGCCAAGATTCCTGTCTGCACCATGAATTAATAACCTCCCGATCCCTCTCTTTACACGGCTGCCTAGATCACCTGAGGCCATTTATTACTTCCCCTAGAAATGTCTGCTTTTCCTTCTCCAGAGAGCTGAAGGTGGGCCATCATGAAGTTAGAGGCAAAAGATACAAGGAAACTCATTTTCACTGATCAGATCTTTTTATTCATTAAGGGCATTAAAAAAATAGACCAAACTAGAGTCCTGCTGAATGTTCCGACTATGGTAAAGCCTATTATTTTGTTGTTATTTTTTGTGTGTTTGCTTTTAACAAGAAATATATCCAGCATTTACCATGTGCAAGGCTCTATTATGCATAATTTTGAAAAAAAGAACTTTTCTAAGCTTATACTTTCTCATCTTTGAAATGAGAATAATTGAGCTCTTAATGCATAGGCTTTTGTTTTATTAGTTATAAATATATATATATATATAGCATTATCAGCATACAATGCTATTATATATAATTATTATATGAAACTAAGACCTGGTCTTAGTATTTTTCTCCTTGAAACACTTCAAAATCTCCTCTGCAATTACTTCCACCCCACTCCACCATACACAAGCTCCTCATGCAAGAACCTCCATGCTGTGAATTTTGATATTTCTCCCAAGACATCTCCTGCTGCTGGCTGATCATACATGACTCACAGGAAAGCCTACATCAATTTTTCTGGAATGTCATTACCTTCCCTTCTATCCCCATAAGCAGCAATCATGCCTTGTAAATTCAGGAGAAATGTCCTCATTTACAGACATCCCTCTTATGCCCATATGCACTCAAGTTGGGAGAGATACATGCAGGCTTTCTCATATGCCCTTTACATACTCTGATCCTGCACTTAGGGCATCATCTTGTAGTTACCTGTTTTTGCCATAAAACAGAACTTCTTAAAATCTGAAGGATTGTCTGTTCTTTGTAATTTTCTCTTTTCACTTTTTGGTTGACTTCAACGTATATTTATCCGGTGTCTCCTGTGCACTGGGCTCTTTTCCAATTATTAATATTTTTTAAGTGTTGTATTTGTTGTGAAAAATTTATCCAAGTGTTTTCTTTAATACAAACAGTACTTGTCAAAGTCCTTTCTCTGTTTACTATCTAACTGGATGCTGTTCAAATCTTCTTGCAGATCTGGAGCTGAAGGGCAATTGATATATTCCAGCAAGAAACGCTGTACAATCAATTATTTCTATCTTCCTTTATGTAATACCCAAGTATGTACAAATAAAGTAGATACAACTTTAAATCTCAGAATACTTGTTTGCTTTTGGTTCTATACCTGAGCATCTGGATTTATTAATGGACTCTAAAAATTTTCAGTGTGTAAGGTACTATTTCATACTCTCAGAATTGCTGTTTTGAACAGTCTTTTGCCAGAAGCTGCAGACTCTGGATAAATATAGAGCAGAGATTCTTATATATTGATAAATATATGAATAAACTTGGGGTCTTATTAAAAGGCAGATTCAGAATTCATGTAGGATAGGACCTGAGGTTCTAAGACTCTAACTTACTTCAGTTGATGCTTATGCTTGCTGTATGCAGAAAGGAGCTGAATTGGCCAGGGTCTAGTGGAGAGATCAGTGGGTTGAGGCACAAGAGTAGTGGAGGTGGTGACGGCGGTGATGGTGACCCAGATACCTCCAAAGGTAAATTTTTTCCATAGAGCAACAGAACTACAAAATTTTGGTACTAAAATGTGAATTTCTTAGCCAATAGGGAAGCCATTGGTGAAGGGATTCTATATCTCTAAATGTCTTCAAGCAAACTAAAATATTCTATTCTATAATAATAACCTCACCATCAATTGCTTACTTTTATTGAATACCTGTTTTATACTTACTGAGTAATATGGCACATTATTTTAAGTACATTCTATGTATTTCTGATTTGATGCTATTAATACTCTTATTTTACAAATGAGAAAACTGAGGCATGAAAATGCTAAATAACTTGCCTTAAAATCAACAAGGTTGACCCTGTGATTTGAACCCAGTGTATCTGACTACTGTGGTGATATTCTTAACAAAGTTCTAGACATTACAGAATTTAGAGTCTAAATATGAGTAGGACATACGGAACGAAACAAAGGTAGTCTTAATCCAACCCAAAAGGGAAATAATTGTTACAAATTTAACAGATTCTAACCATTGGTTGTGAATCAATTTTAGGTTCTGTTGTTTTCATTTCTTCCGTTGAAGGTCTTTATCATTTTTTAAATAGGAAGTTCAAGCTGATTATTGCAAAGATGCCAGCCATATGGCATTAAATCAGAAGTCTCATGAATTATTTGGAAGCTTCTTTTGATCTCGCTTGTGAAAACAGCAGGATCTCATTTTGTGTCAATCCTCTGAATTTATTTTGGAATCTTAACCTATTTAGAACAACTTTTTTTTTGTTTTCTTGGTTTTTAAATGTCAGTTTAAAAGGCTCTAAAATTCTTGATATTTGACACTTGGCAAAACTGATTTTAGCTTTGGCAAAATAGACACAATTAAAAATGGAAATATCCATTAGATTGTTTGTGAATCATGTTTCCTCAGAAAAGGCAAAATATTTTATTCTGCATTAATAAAAAAACAGCCCCTAACCAGGGAAGTGATGTCCTATTATATCCTCAGCTTAGTGAGGCATTACCTAGAGTGTTATATTCTACTGGGACCACACACTTTCAAAGGGTCATTTGAAAACTGAAAACTTCCTGAGGTAAGTGTCAGTGATGACAAGAGGATTAGAAACCTGTCATATTAAATGTGTTTGTAAGCACACACAACCTTTAAATTGAAAATATAAATGGGACAGAATAGCTGTTTATAAATTTTTGAAGTGCAGTCTATTATGTCAAAGAATTAATGACTTTCCTTGTGGCCTCAGAATAACAGAATAGGAATGAATGCGTGAAAGCTGAAGTTGGTTTGATTTATGACCATTTAAGAAAGATAACCTCTCCCCCAAAATTACAGCTGCCAAAGCACTCATATATGAATTATTCTGGTGAGCCATCGATTCATTCACTCATCCATGGACCATTTTCTGAAGCCTTCTCTGCAGCAAGCGCTGTTCCAGCATGAACACAAAAAGCTGCTTTCACTGGGACTTGAATCTAATATAAAGAAGGGAGGGAAAAGTGTAAATGCACCGAAGGAAATAGGTAATATGATAATGCCTCGGGAAGAATAGAACTATTGTGAACAGGATGGCCAGGGAAGGCTTGATATATGAGCTGAGAGAAAATATATGAGGAATTACTCATGTGCTATGGACTGAATTGTCCCATCCCTCTAAATTCACATGCTGAAGCCTTAATTGCTCATGTGAAGGTGTTTGAAGATGGAAACTTTGGAAACTGATTATGTTTAGATGAGATCAAAAGAGTGATGGTCCTCCTGATGAGAGCAGTGTCCTTATGAGACACTACTTGCTTATAAGCTTGCTTTCACTCTTCTCTGTGTGAGTACATATCTAGAAGGTGACCGTCTGCAAGCTAGAAGAACTCTCAATAGAATCCAACCTTGCTGGCACCTTGATCTGAGAATTTCAGCCTCCACAACTATGAGAAATAAATTTTTGTCATTCAAGTCACCCAGCCTATTGTATTTTATTATGGCAGCCCAAGCTGATTAAGACATTATGCAAAGATCCAGTCGATAAATTAACAAATATAAGCAGAAACCATGAGGTGATAAGCGGCTTAAAATTTCAGTGGAACTAAAAGACTAAGGCTGCATTTTAACGGGTAAGAGAAAGAAAGAGTGATATGTGTTGGGATCTCATACAAAGGCAGCTGCCCTTCTCATACCTTGAACAACTAGGTAAACTCTTAGGAAAATGTCTGCAGTTCACATCCTGTGTGTATCCAAAACTCCCGTATTAAAATTCTTCTTTGGGAAAATTGTGATGTATGCATTATATAAGCCTAGGTAAATATTTTAGTGTCCACACCAAGGGAAAATATAAAAGGAAATTTAAGATCCATGTGTCAGATTACACTTCCAAGACAATGGCCAAAAGATCTTCCATCTTCCATGTTTTTATATGATGCTTACACTCCTCTCATTGAAAGAATGGGCTCTGTGTATCCTCTTGAATGTCTGGAATAGAAAGGAAGTGACATGCTATGATTTCCAAAATTAGGTCCTAAATAGGAATAAACCTTCTGGCTTCTGCTTGGTCCCCTTAGGATGCTTGTTACTGAAATTCAACTGTCATGATGTGAAGAAGCCCAAGTCACATGGAGACATGTGAGAGAAAAAACCTTTGAAATCATTCCAGGTGCAGACACCATTTCCCTGGAACCACAAGCAAGACTGAGTGAGAACCACTGAACTGAGAACAGCCAGCCCCTAGGAACACGGGGAAGAAGAGTTAAACAGTTACTGTTGTTTTAGTCCCCCAATTTTCTTGTGATTTTTTTTAGTGTAGTAGTAAGAAACTGGAATAATTCATATTAATTCCTTAGAAAATAAGTAATAACTAATTAGTAATATCGAATTTCATCCTGTGGTAAAATAAAATTAGGCTACCACAGGGTAAAGTTAGATATTAGGATCCTAGGATCCTAACATGGATCTTAGATCTTAATAGATCTTAGAATCCTATTAGATCTTAGAACCCAGACACTTTGTTTTCCTTCTTTGGTGGCCTGAAAGCAAAACTATTTTCAAATATTATTTTTAAAAATGTTCAGAAAGTTTTAGAGCTTTGATATTCTTTGGTAATAGTTAAACTTTTCTAATGTTGTTCAGAATTCCCTTAATCCTTTGTCTGATGCCAACATGCAGTGGAAATTTGTTGTAGCTCTTTAGCATCGCTACATAACTCAAGTGGGTTTACCTGTAATCATCTGCGATTGTATGCTACAATACACTGCTATCGATTACTTCATCCTGCTTTATGTACTATGCTTTTCTTTTGTATTGATTCTTCCCTTTGTATTGCTTTATATGCTTTAACATGATTTAGGCTTCTCATTTCCTTATTATCCTATACTCTGAATCACCATGTTACATATTATTCTCCAAGATTCAAATCATAAGTGTGAAAAAGGTGACAAAAATAAGCAGAATGTTTCTGACTTATTAAATGTAGGTTATTAAATAATGTTTTATAGTCAAAATGCTAGAAAGCTAATTTAAAAAGCAATATATATAAAATATTCAAGCCAAAAAATAGATGCTTAATTTACTGTAAAAAATAGGAGTTTCCCATAGGGTGATTGAAGTGTTTGGGGCTACAAAAATTTAACATCTTCTGGAACTTCTGAAATAATGGTGTAATTCCTTGGCTATACATTTTTTAAATTATGCAAATATAGATCATTGAAACCATATTGTGCTTCCTATTTCTCCTGGAAGACATACCTAATCATAGTGTATCTATGGCCTAAAATATATTCTCTCCTCCATGTAGAAATATACCAGAGAAATATAAGGCACTGAAAGCTATACAAAGCGATTTATAATCTGTTCTTCTCTACAGACTCACTCCAAGGAGAATGGAATATATAATCCCAATAAGGCTAAAATAAAGCTCCATATCAAACTTCAGTAATGACTACTCTGTATGTAACTAACAGACTAAAATTCAGATATGCCTGAAGTAAAATGAACTTAAGCTTAGGGAATATAAAAACATTGAATTCTAGTTAGAAACGTTCAAATGAAGAATATGAAAAATATTCTGCCACATTCCATTTCCCCACAGTAGTAGTTCTCAACCTTTTCATATATATTCATAGATTAAACGAAGGGAATTTTAAAATACCAATGCCTGAATTCCACTCCCTTAAGATTGTTTCAATCGGTGTAGGTGGAATGTGGATATCAATATTTTTAAAAACACTACATGTGATTTTAATACGCATTCAGAGATAAGAATTACAATTTCACATTATCATTGTTTCTCAAAATATAATCCATGAATCTAGGATTCAAAAATTTATTGTGAAAAAGAGGGTAGTGAGATCCATTTAAAAGTAAGCAAACTCCAAATAGAAAGCCACATATCTTTCTTTCATTCCCTCCCTTGCTGTGACGTCACTCTGGGTAAGATATAGTTCCTCATATCTTTGATTTACGGCTCTCATTCATGAACATAATATATGCCACATCCAAGCAAAAGTTTCATATGTGTGGTGTATTATGGTCTCTTGTCTCCTTTTATTCACCAGGAAGAGATCCTGCCCCAGGTTGATCTGTCCCTTCACTCAGGTCCAGGAATGAATGATGTATAAAAAGCAACTATATCCACATCTAATGGGTCTTCAGATCTGTGCTTGAAAAATTCATGTATATTATTTTGCACTACTATAATTTTGACTCTTAAAAATGTAGCATTATCATAGCAACAGTCAAACAAGAAAGAAATTTAAAGCTTCAGACTCAAGATTCCTAAAAATATACCCTAGTCCCTGTTATGAATCTTTCAAGAAAGGACCGTATCATGCAATTTTGCAAACTTCATTTTATTACAGAATCTTTTATTTTAGGGATTGCCCCAAAAAAACTTTTTTTCAACAACGGGAAAACATGAAATGAATTGTGACTAGTTAAAAAAAATACTGTATTTATGCAACTATATTACAATCATGTCTGACTTTTTAATAGTAACCAAAATATCTATCAAATTGGAAATAAGGCCTCTATATTCTTATTATAAACAAATGAGTAATAACTAATGCTTTTGTTAAAATAGGGGAAAATGTTGAGTACAGAATGGTAGAGATATGAGCATCAAAACGTCCATAGGCCAGATCTTGGGCTGCTGGTTCAAACCTCAATAAGGAAAAGACAAGTAATCTAAGTTTCAAAAAGTAACTTAACTGAGGCATCTTTTACATATCATATAATTCATCCATTTCAAGTGTAGAATTCAATGATATTTTAGTAAATTTACCAAGCTTTGAAACCATTGCCATAAATCAGTTTTTGAATGTTTCATCACTTCACTGAGATACTATATGCACATTAACTGTCGCTGTCCCTCTCCACAGTTCAAGTCATTCACCAGTCTATCTCTAAAGATTTGTCTTTTCTGGACATTTTGTATAAATGGAATCTTACAGTATGTGGTTTCTGGTACCTGGCTTCTTTCAGTGTGTATAAAACTATGAGGTTCATCCACATAGTAGTATGTATCTACAGTTTGTTCTTTTTTATAGCTAAGTGGTATTCTATCATATGGATAGATGGTTTTTTTTAATGCATTTATTCATTCATCCACCATTTATCAAGGGCCTTTTTCAGGCAAAGCTCTGAGCCAGGCATGGCACGCAACTAAAATATACACAAAAAAGTGTGTTTGTGCTTTCAAATAACTTAGGTAAGAAAATCAGGTACATAGCTTCATACATAAGAGTTCTCTAATTTTGTGAATTCATTCACCAGGTGACACATGATTAGATTGTTTCCACTGTAGGGCCAGTGTGTGTGGATATATGTTTTCATTTATCTTAGGTAGATAACTAACAGTAAATTTGCTGGATTGAGAAGTAGTGTAACTTTACAGTGTTTTCACCCCTTGGAAAACACAAACACTATATACAGAAAATAGCATGATAATGGCTATGATAGTATTACACATTAAATTTGATGGAAGCAAGATTGGGCTGGAGGAAAAAGTAACACGAATAGAAAGTGTGGATAGGTAAGGAAACAGAGTAAGGTTTTTCTAAATCAGTGATGACAAAAAGAGAAAAGACATAATTTTAAAACAGCATGATGAATACCTCAAAGAAAGGCGATACACCAAGAGATCAGGTAATGGGAGTTTGGCCTCTGCTCATGGTTATGCAGTTTGTAAAACTGGCCCAATTCCTGGAACTTAACAGAGGGCTGAATCTGGCCCAGAGAAGTAATATGTAATTCTCTTTCCTTTTCTCTTTTCTTTTTCTTTTCTTTCTCTTTCTTTTTTTTCTTTCTCTTTCTTTCTCTTTCTCTCTTCTTTCTTTGTTTCTTTCTTTTTCTTTTTTTCTTTCTTCTCTTTCTCTTTCTTCCTCTCTCTCTTCCTCCCTTCCCTTCCCTTTCCTTCCTCTCTTTTTCTTTTACTTTCCTTTCTTCTTTTTCTTTCCTTTCTTTTCTTTCTTTCTCTTTCTTTTTCTTTCTCTTTCTTTCCTTCCTTCCTTCCTTTCTTTCTCTCTTTCTTCTTTCTCTCTTTCTCTCTTTCTTTCTTTCTTTCTTTCTTTCTTTCCAAAAAGGTACTATCAAATATACCGATGTCTACTTGTGGCATCTTTTAAAAATCATCTGTTGAGGCTAAATGATACCTTTTTACAGATTTGCACAAGGATATTATATAGTTTAGCTGCGCTTCCTAGTCTAGAAAGATTTCTATGTCATTAAAAGGACTTTTAATGTTCTAATTTAATGCTTTCCACATTTATCCATGTCAAGCAATCTTCAGAAAGTTAGGAAGCTTGCATAATGCACTAAGGTAAGCACTAAGCTTTTCTTAGCTGAGGCACTACAGCAACCATGGGACCCTTGCTGTGGCCCTGAGAGGGGAGGACATCAATATCTAATCACACTTGTCACCCCTTTGTGAAGAATGTTGAATCAAGAAAGGGAGAGTCATTGATAGATAGGTTTTAAAAAATATTTCTCAGAAATTGAGTAGCATGTTCAGTTGAGGCACTCTGGCCACAGGCTAGAGGACAGGTATGAGTCTGGCAGGACATGAGAGAAGAAAAAGAATCAAGAGATTAAGCCAGCAATCCAGGAAAGACAATGATAAGCATCTGCCCTGAACAAAAGTGTGGGAAAGAAAAATAAAGACTGAATTTAAGAACCATTGAGGAGGAAAATCAGCATGGCTTAATGGAGAAAGAGAGTGTGGAATGATTCATAGTTTATTTATTTCATTTAATAGCTAAGTTTAGGAGGGACACCTTCACTGAGATATAAAATGGAGGAGAATAAAACACATTTGAAAGTATAGCTTGGATGATAAATATTACAATGCATAGTAAAAGAACACTGTGTCCATCAAGACAATTAAAATATTAATTTATGTGCAATTATAATTTAGGAATTCTAAAACATAAAAAATGGAGTCAATATTGTCTAGAATATTATGTATTACAGAGATAACACATTGAAATAAATTAGAATTTATTAATAATAAAAGAGGAAATAATCAGTACCTACGTATGGCATCCATGTATACATTGAATCATATTGGATACAGAGGCTAAATAGAAAAATTATAAAAATAGCACAATTCATACAAAAATACATGAAATGTATAGAGAGATATACAATACACACTCTTAACAAGAATTGATGGGTAATTTAAAGAGCTGGTTGAATAAAAAGAAGAAAATTTTAAACCAAATACTTTCAAAAATCTAATAAGAATAAAAATGGTAAACATTTGTAAAACACTTCGCTGTATCCTAAAGTCTCCCTCTAAACAAATGCACATAATCTTATATTGCAAGGCTAAAACACTGACCTTATTAACAAGACCATCTTTCTAAGACAACAGCCACAATGAAACTTCACAAAGTTTTGCTAAAGGTCATCTGGAAGAAGCATGTGGAAATACACAAAATATTTTTTCAAAAATAGATGACATGAGGTAAGATTACTTGCTCTTGTGAGTTATTTAAATACATGTACTATAACAATGTTCTTAATATATTAAATGATACTTTTCCATCCCAGGTATGAGTATGATAAAGAAGTGTAAAAACTAAAGTATTTACAAGTCTCTGTCTTTGAATCTTCAAAATCCAAAATTATCAGTAGCCAGGGGTAAAGGCTAGTATACAAAATCAATGACTGTACATCAGGTAATAATGTGTTGTTCAATTTCACCATATCATCCTTTGTGATATTTTTTAAACTATATACATCCCTTGGACTTAGCAACTGACATGGAGATGAATAAAATAAATCCTGGTTTTACTTAAGTAAATTACTGTGGAAAAATAAGGAAATAAAATAGAGTCCAATCTGGGCAAAATTGAGGTACTGGGGGAGAAAATAATTATTGGTATAAGTTACATGTGATATATTTTATTTATGTTTCCATGAGGATCTCTTTCCATTTCCATACCAAAGAGTCAGGCTACGGGGTCATTAAAAGCTCAACTTGTTTCTCTTCTTTCTCCATTTATGGTGGATCTGCTTCCTAGCTCATTTCCAACCTCGATGTGGAAACCGAGGCCCATGTTAGAGAGTTGGGCATCATTCATCCCTTTGCTTTGCACAACACTGTAATCTCCTTGTACCAGAACATGTGCTGAGCTTCTGCCTCCAGGGCAACTCCTATGATTGCATGTGATCTGGGATTCCCAGTGCTGGTTGGGCATAGCAGTGGCTTTTCCAAGGGTACTCCTAGGCAGAAAACTCCACAGACTTCTCAGTTCCTATCCCATCATTGAAACTTTAATTGAAAGCTTTCTCTTTATGTCTGCAGTCGCTGAGCATTTCTCATGATGAACAGAGACTAAGCACAAAGAGAAGGAGAAAAAAATTTAACTAATTTTTGTTTTGAGCGCATACGTAGTGAGCACATCAGAAAAAAGAATGTGAAAAGCAGCTGCCAGGAACATTTGTAAAAACATAGTCCTGTCTTCTTCTACTTTGCCTTGACTCCCATTGAACAGCAATATCTTATTTTATTCTTCCAGAAGAAAATAAATGGTGAAATTTTTGGGAGGAAAGTAACCTTTCACCTTTCATCATATCCATCACTCTTCACACTCAAAAGATGCCAATTTCTGTGGACTCAGACTCTTAGATTTTGCTCATTTTCATCACTTATTAATTCCTAGTTCTCTATATCAAGCCCTAACTATCCACAACTTAGCTTGTTGTAAAGGCCTTCTCCTTCTCCACTATTTTGCAACTGCCCTCCACAATATAGATGTGATTCTCCTAAAAGAAACATCCGAAGCACATTTGCCTTCTCAAAACCTAGTAGGGCACCACCTATAAATTTAATATATAAAGTATTTTTAAAGGATATTTTAAAAGATACTCTTTAAAAATATGAATAACTATGAAGAAACATAACAAAATATCTTGAAGACCTCTATAGAAAAAATATTTTAATAATGTAGAAAAATTAAAGAAAACATAAATAAGTAAAAAAAAATTATTTTCAAGTATTACAAAAATCAATATTGTAAATATGGAACATGCATTTGGCAATCCATGAATTTGAAAAGAGTTATGGAACTATAAATAACTCCTACACAACCATGAGAAATGGATATTTAGGCAAGGTGTCAGAATAGGCTTGTCCTGAATGAGGATACCCAAAAACTTAACAAATACATGAAAAAGTGAACAATTGATTAGAAATTATAAAAAGCAAATTAAAATCACAGTAAGTTATATGATAATACATAAACCAGAATTATTAATATTTAAACCAACTGTTTGCAAGGATTTGCAGAAACAGAAACCCCATAAACACTGACAGCCTAACAGTGATGCTTTGAAAAAAGACAATGTAGCTTTGTCTACTAAGGTTAAACATATGTACGTATGCTACATATGTATCTATGCTACCACCTAACAATTTCACTCATGCGTTTGTATGTATATATTAGTGCATACATGTGTGCACCAAAGACATATAAAATTAATAGCAGTCTTATTTATAGTAGCCACACATTTAAATAACTGAAATGTTTACCATTAGTGGAATGGTTGCATGTTGTTATCTTTATATAATGGAATGTTACTATGTAGCAACGAAAATTAATGTACCACAGCTATAGACTAAAGCATAATGTTGAGTAAAAGAAGTCAGGCATAAAATAATGAACACCTTATGATTTTATTTATTTTAAGCTCAAAACCAGGCAAAACTGGATAACAGAGTTAAGAGTTGAAATAAAGAAACCTTAAGGGCAGAGGCAAAAAAGGAGTAGCAACTGGAAAAAGGCGTAAGCTTCTAAGATGTTAGCAACAGTTTATTTCTTCAACATGTTGCAGTTCCATAGTTAGTTGAATTGTGATAATGTATTGAGCATATATGTTTTGTGCATTTTCTTTAATATATGCTATATTTCATTTAAGGTTAAAAATGTGAAAATGCAATTGAACAATAGAAAATATTTATAAATTTCCACAAATGTGAATTTGAGGATTAAGATTTATGTGTAACAAAAATATTACATGACTGCAATAATTATTCACACTTAATCTTTCATCCTCCAATAAAAAGATAATAGTAATATGAGATAACATTAGTTGAGTTATAACAACTAATGAAGTATATAACTAAGACTTCCTTAGTTATCCCCTTAAGTACTGAAGAAACTGAGACACAGTTATATTATGTAACTTTAGGTTTAAAAACCTAATTAGTAGCACAGTATTAACTCATATCTTAGCAGTGTGCCTCAAGGTTAAATCTGCTTAACCTCTATATTCTCCCTGACGTACATCTCCTAATTATCTTTCTAGAAACAGAACAGAGAAAGAATAGCAAGCACATAGAGCATAAAATACCTAGGAATGCAACTTACAAGGGATGTGAAAGACCTCTTCAAGGAGAACTACAAACCACTGCTCCAGGAAATAAGAGAGGACACAAACAAATGGAAAAGCATTCCATGCTCATGGAAAGGAAGAATCAATATCGTGAAAATGGCCATACTGCACAGACTATTTTATAAATTCAATGCTATCCCCAGCAAGCTACTATTGACTTCCTTCACTGAGTTAAAAAAAAGATTAATTTAAATTTCATATGGAACCAAAAAAGAGCCCGTATAGCCAAGACAATCCTAAGCAAAGAGAACAAAGTTGGAGGCATCATGCTACCTGACTTCAAACTATACTATAAGGCTACAGTAACCAAAACAGGATGGTGCTGGTACCAAACAGACATATAGACCAAAGGAAGAGAACAGAGTCCTCAAAAATAATGGCACACATCTACAACCATCTGATTTTTGACAAAAAAAAAAAATGGGGAAATATTACCCTATTTAATAAATGGTGTTGGGAAAACTGGCTACCCATATGCAGAAAACTGACACTAGATCCCTTCCTTACACCTTATACAAAAATTAACTCAAGATGGATTAAAAACTTAAACATAAGACCTAAAACCATAAAAACCCTAGAAGAAAACCTAGGCAATGCCATTCAGGACATAAGCACGGGCAAAGACTTCATTACTAAAACACCAAAAGCAATGGCAACAAAGGCCAAAATAGACAAATGGGATCTAATTAAATTAAAGAGCTTCTGCACAGCAAAAGAAACTACCATCAGAGTGAACAGGCAACCTACAGAATGGGAGAAAAATTTTGCAATGTATCCATCTAGACAAAGGGCTAATATTCAGAATCTACAAAGATCTTAAACAAATTTACAAGAAAAAATCAAACGACTCCATCAAAAGTGAGCGAATGATATGAACAGATGCTTCTCAAAAGAAGACATTTCTGCGGCCAACAAACATATGAAAAAAATGTTCATCATCACTGGTCATTAGAGAAATGCAAATCAAAACCACAATGAGATACCATCTCACACCAGTTAGAATGGCAATCATTAAAAAGTCAGGAAACATCAGATGCTGGAGAGGATGTGGAGAAATAGGATCACTTTTACACTGTTGGTGGAACTGTAAACTAGTTCAACCATTGTGGAAGACAGTGTGGCAATTCCTCAAGGATCTAGAACCAGAAATACCATTTGACCCAACAATCTCATTACTTGGTATATAACCAAAGGATTATAAATCATGCTACTATAAAGACACATGCACACGTATGTTTATTGCAGCACTATTCACAATAGCAAAGACTTGGAACCAACCCAAATGCCCATCATTGATAAACTGGGCAAAGAAAATGTGGCACATATACACCATGGAATACTATGCAGCCATAAAAAATGATGAGTTCATGTCCTTTGCAGGGACATTGATGAAGCTGGAAACCATCATTCTCAGCAAACTAACACAGGAACAGAAAACCAAACACCAATTGTTGTCACTCATAAGTGGGAATTGAGCAATGAGAACACATGGACACAGGGAGGGGAATATCACACACTGGGCCCTGTTGGGGGCTGGAGGGCTAGGAGAGGGATAGCATTAGAAGAAATGCCTAATGTAGATGATGGGTTGATGGGTGTGGCAAACCACCATGGCATGTGTATACCCATGTAACAAACCTGCATGTTCTGCACATGTATCCCAGAACTTAAAGTATAATTTTAAAAAACTCACAGTTAAATTCTAATTCAGAGGGAAGCTGACTGGCTGGGATGAGAAGCATAAAACATGTGAAATATAATTCTGGACAAGAAAACCCATTACAACCATGAAGTTTAGTTGTCAGTAACTCAGTATTTCTATTTGGCTGGTAGGAAAAAATGAAAAAGATCCCAGAAATGAGCAAATTGTCTGGAAAAGCACACAACTAAACAAACAGGCCCAGCAAAGTATTGTTGCTAAAGCTGGATAAGAAACAAAGCAAGAAGTATACCTAAATTTCATCCCAGCACAGGGTGTTAAGGGAACTGCCACCAATATTTCAAGAACAAATAATTCTTATTTTTTAGAAGTATTCTGGTGTACACAAATTATTGGAAAACTTCCAAACTCATTTCATGGTCTTAGCAGATCACTTAAGACAGAAAGTGCAAAATAAAGTAAAAGATGAGATTTAACTACAGTAAACACACACACTCACACACACACACACACACACACAGATTGCAATGCACTCACAGTCACACGCGAAAAAGAATATTTATAATAAGTGAAACCATAAGCAAGTTAAAATCCACATACATGCAGGCTGGGTGAAAATCTTGAGAAGACTGCAGACTCGAAAATAATATGGATTCATTATAAAGAGCAAAATAAAAACATTGCAAAGAAAAGTAAAAGAAGTCAAGGAGATGCACAGGAATTTAAAAATACAAACGGGAATAATATAGGCAAAGGTGCTCAATCAGAGTATTAAGCAGAGTAATGAAAATTAAAACAATAATGATCATATCAGCAAAAATTTTAAAGACTGATAATATCCATGTTATCAAAGGTGTGGCAGTTGAAGCTCTCACAAGATGCTGAGGGAATGTAAGTTTGTTTAGCATCCAAAGGTACTATGAAAATTTTACAAATGATAAATCCTTAGGCTCTACATTTCCACTTTTAGAAATACATCCCACGGAATTATTTCCATGTGCGCTAAGTTATCTAGCATGCACTAGGAAATTTTGTCATGCCGTTATTTCTAGCGTGGTATGGCATCCTATGCAGAGCGTAGATTCTAAGAGTACCACAGAAGTAAATATTGAGTAACGACATTATTTGTAAATATATAGAGAGGAAGGTTTCACTTAAAGGCTTACAGTGTATCCCTTAGTCAATCCAGCATAACCCATATTTTCCTATAACTTTAAGCAGATACTTTTCTATCCAATTGATCACCAAATGACATAGTGCTCTTAGATTTGCAAGCCCTGTGATACTAAAATTTCTTATTTACAGACACTAGAATGCTACTCCCCATGGTAAGATGCTCTTATTATTAGAGAAGCTGAATCTGAGACCCAATGAGAAAATGTAAAAAAACCCATATTCGTATAAAAACATATGCATATTATTAGATGGTAGGCAATATTACCTGTAACACTTAAATAAACTCCTCTATTATTGATTCATCTTCTTCTGTGCTCAACTTCAATTCCATGTATAACTAAATATTAATAGTTGCAAGTTATCTAAATACAAATATGATTAAACTATGGTATATTAATATCACTAAAAATTATGAAACAGAAGTAATCCTATAGAATTATTCATACTAACAGAGAAAATGTTCCTCATCATGTCAATTAGAGAACAAAACAAATTGCAGTTCAATGTATAGAGTATGACCCCATAAACAAAAGCCTCAAACCCAAACTAAATAGCTAGTAGAAAAAATTAGCAAATAATCTGGAATGGTTAGCTCCCTGATGGGAACTGAAATTGGACAAATGCTTTAAAATACACTGTCACATTTTTCCCCAACATAACTCTATACAACATCCTTCAATACACACTGATTACTTTGGTGATCTCATCCCACCTCATTAGTTTAAATACTAAGTGTTGACATTTCTAAATTTATGATTCTAATACAGTTTTCTACCCTAAGACTGCTATATCTGTAGGCCTCTAGGTCTACATGTCTCATTGAGACCTCCTCCTTGGATGATTAATAAGCCCCTCAAACTTCATCTGTCAAAACATAAGCTCCCGCTTTTCCCTTCAGAACTTTGCCACCTGCAGTCTTCCTTATGTCAGTAAATTGCAACATTGTCTATCAATTTAAAAGGATAAAAATTTCAGAAAGAACCTTGGTTTCTCTCCTTCACATTCTCGGTTCACTATCCACACTTTCTATTGGTTCTAATTTTTAGCATGACTTTAAACTAAATGCAGTTGTCTTGATCGTCTTGTTCTCCCAATTGTTGTATCACTCTCTTCCTTCTCTCTCTACATATTATAGATTTCTTTCAGCCCTGGATATTACTTAAATTCCTAACTTTCTGACCTCTCAGCTAATTATTCTTCTAGAACATATCTTATTTTACACCAGAATGAGTTAGGTTATCCACTACTGTAGAATCTGTGCTTCGTATTAAAAAAAAAAATTCCACTTGGGTTACTTAATATCTGCATTCCACGTTCACTATAAATCCTAACACAAGGAAGATAATGTCAGTTGTATTGATGACCATTTTCAGCATCTAGAGTCAGCTGTCAAGAAATGATTTCCAGGATGGGTGGAACAATATGGCAAAATAGAAAGCTCCACTGCTCATCTCCCCAGCAAGGTCACCAAGTTAGCAACTATTTACACAGAATGACACACCTTCATAAGAACGAAAAATCAAGTGAGCACTCACAGTAGCTGATTTTAACTTCATATTACTGAAAGAGGCAGTAAAGAAATAGAAAAAACAGTCCTGAATCACCTATGCCACCCGCCCTCCACCCCAGCAGCAGACGTGTGGTATGGGGTGTGTCTCTGGGTGCTGAGGGAGCAGAACACAGCAATTCTGAGGCATTGATCTCAGTGCTGTCCTGTTAGAGAAGAAAGGAAAACCAGACGAAACTCAGCTGATATCCGCCCAAGGAGGGAGCATTTAAACCAGCCCTAGCCAGAAGGGAATTGCCAATCCCAGTGGTCCAAACTTGAGTGCCTGGAAAACCTCGTCACCTAAGGCCAAAGTGCTTTTGTCTCTAAGTAAACTTAAAAGGCAGTCTAGGCCATAAGGACTGCAACTCATAGGCAAGTCCTAGGGCTGAACTAGGTCCAGAGACAGTGGACTGAGGGGACAGGTCACAATCTGAGATACCAGTTGGGGCAACGAAAGAAGTGCTGGCATCACCCCTCCACTAACCCCTGGCTGCCCAGCTCCAGGCTCCAAAAGAGACCCCTTCCTTCCACTTGAGGAGAGCAGAGGGAAGACTGGAGAGGACTTTGTCTTGCATTTTGGATACTAACTCAGCCACAACAGAATAGGGCACCAGTCAGAGTCATGAGGCTTGCATTCCAGGTCCTAGTTCCCAGAGGACATTTCTAGATACACCCTGGGCCAGAAAGGAATCCACTGCCTTGAAGGGAAGGACAAAGGTGCTAAGAACATACATTGGGGAAAGGATGGTCTCTTCAATAAATAATGCTGGGAAAACTGAATATGCATATGCAAAAGAATGAAACTAGACCCCTATCTCTCACCATATATAAAAATGAATTCAAGACTTAAACCAAAGAGACCTCAAATATGAAACTACCACAAGAAAATATTGGGGAAAATCTCCAGGATATTGGTCTGGGCAAATATTTCTTGAGCAATACCCCACAAGCACAGGCAACCAAAGCAAAGATAGACGAATGAGATCACATCAAGTTAAAAAGCTTCTGCACAGAAAAGGATACAATCAACAAAGTGAAGAGACAACCCACAGAATGGGATAAAATATTTGCAAAAACTACCTCTCTGACAAGGGATTAATAACCAGAATATATAAGAAGCTCAAAAAACTCTTAGAAAAAAAAAACAAACAAACTCATAATCCAATCAAAAATGGGTGAAACATTTGAACAGACTTTTTTTCAAAAGAAGACATACAAATGGCAAACAGGCATATGAAAAGGTGCTCAACAGCACTAATCATCAGAGAAATGCAAATTAAAACTGCAATGAGATACCACCTCACCACAGTTGAAATGGTTTACATCCAAAAGACAGGCCATAACAAATGCTGGCGAGTATGTGGAGAAAAGGGAATCCTCATACATTGTTGGTGGGAATGTAAATTAGTACAACCACTATGGAGAAGAGTTGGAAGTTTCTTAAAAAATTGAAAATTGAGCTACCATATGATCCAGGAATCTCACTGCTGGGTAACTACCCAAAAGAAGGGAAATCAATGTATCAAAGAGATAGCTGCACTCCTATGTTTCTTGCAGCAGTGTTTACAATAGCTAAGATTTGAAAGCAACCTAAATGTCCATCAACAGATGAGTGGATAAAGAAAATGTGGTACATATACACAGTGAAGTACTATTCAGTTATATGAATAATGAGAACCAGTCATGTACAACAACACGATGGAACTGGAGAGCATTATGTTTAGTGAAATAAGCTAGGCGCAGAAAGACAAATATCGCATGCTCTCACTAATTTGTGGGATCTAAAAATAAAAACAATTGAACTTATGGGTGGTTGGAGGGCAGGTGGAGATGGCTAATGGGTACAAAAAGATAGAAAGAATAAATAAGACCTACTATTTGATAGCACAATAGGGTGACTATAGTCTGTAATAACTTAATTGTATATTTAAAAATAAATAATGTAATTGGATTGTTTGTAACTCAAAAGATAAATGATTGAGAGGATGGATACCTCATTCTCCATGATGTGCTTATTTCACATTACATGCTTGTATCAAAACATCTCATATACCCCGCAAATTTATACACCTACTATGTATTCACAAACATTTAAAAAAATAATTTAAAAATTATTTCTTATATGAATCAATAATTTCATTAATTTGTCATTAATATAAGCACTGACAAAAAGTAAATCCATGTATTCATACAGACACTCTATAAAGAAATGTTAGTTTAATGCTAGGTGCGGTGGCTCAATGTTTTTCAGTGTGAGTAAAATATTTACAAAGCTTAGATTTATATCCTGAGAAATAATGTTTCATTTTATAAATATTAATAGGTTCTTAAATTTTTCAGTTTTCTGTTTTATAAAATTTAGAAAATATGAAGAACCTCAGCCTCTAAAAATATATTTTTGGCCAGGCGTGGTGGCTCACGCCTGTAACCCCAGCATGTTGGGAGGCCGAGGCAGGTGGATCACAAGGTCAGGAGTTCGAGACGAGCCTGGCCAACATGGTGAAACCCTGTCTCTACTAAAAATACAAAAATTAGCCAGTCACAGTGGTGGGCACCTGTAGGGACAGCTACTCGAGAGCCTGAGGCAGGAGAATCGCTTGAACCCGGGAGGCAGAGGTTGAAGTGGGTGGAGGTCATGCCACTGCTCTCCAGCCTGGGTGACAGAGCAAGACTCCATCTCAAAAATTAAAAAAAAAATTAAAAAAAGGTAGTTTACACAAACAATTATTTGTGATTAAGCAAGCATTGTAAAGAAATCCCACAAACAGGGGTAGAGTAATTCATTTTTTATTTAGAGAAAACTGTTTAGTCATCCTGCACTACACAATAACAATAACCTAGGTAATTTAAATAGTTCAACTTTTTAAAACTGTGTACCTTTGAAGTGTAACTGTGAAGCAGCTCTATTATATAAGGTTAAAATTATCAATCAGAGCCACTAAATAGGTGATAGCAAATTCATAGAAAACTGCTGTTTAAATTAACTAAATTGAAAAAATATATAAAAATATGCTAAGTAGAAAAAGGCTATAACAAGACTCTAAATATCTTCACTAATAAACAGACACAATATGCTAAAACCGTAAGGTGAACAATGTGGCAGCCATTGAGAGTGGCAAAACTGTGTGACATGGAAAAACCTTAAAATATACACTGACTGAAAAATTCCTATTGCTTAATGACAGTTTAGCCATTGCAACATCATAGCCCAAACATTTACCCTCATGTGTGTGGTGATGTGGTGTAAACAAACTTACTGCCTTGCCACCTTTATAAAAGTATAGCACATGCAACTATGTGTAGTACCTAACATTTAATAATGACAATAAGCAAGTGTTACTGGTTTATGTATTTGCTGTACTTTTTTATTATTATCTTGAATGTACTCCCTCTGCTTACTTAAAAATGAAAATTAACTGTAAAACAGCCTCAGGAGATCCTTCAAGGGATATTCCTGAAGAAGGCCTTATTATCATGGGATATGACAGGTCCTTGTGCGTTATTGTCCCTAAAAACCTTCCAGTGAGACAAGATACGGAGGTGGGAGACAGTGATACTGATGATCCTGACTCTATGTATGTTTAGACTAATGTGTGTGTTTGTGTCTTTGTTTTTAACAAAAAATTTGAAAAGTAAAAAATGAAAATTGAAAAAATAAATTTAAAACTATAGAATAAAAATATAAAGTACTTTCGTAGAGCTGCACAATGTGTTGTTTATGTTTTAAGCTATAATGTTATTACAAAGTAGTTAAAATTTGAAAATAATTTAAAAGTATATAAAGAAAAAAGTTACAGTAAGCTAAATTATTATTGAAGAAAATTTTTTATAAATGTTGTGTAGCTGAAGTGTACTGCCTTTGCAAATCTATGGTAACATATAGTAATGTCCTACCTGTGCCTTCACACTCAATCACCACACGCTGACACACCCAGAGCAACTTCCATTCCTACAAGCTCCACTCACGGTAAGTGTCTTATATAGGTGTTCCTTTTATCTGTAAGCCACATTTTTACCATATTTTTTGTATGGTTAGATACTTAAATACTTACCATTGTGTTACAATTGCCTATAGCATTCAGAACAAGCATGCTGTTCACGTTTGTAGCCTACGACAATTGGCTATACCATATATCTTAGATGTATAGTAGTCTATATCATCTAAATTTGGCCAATCTACTCTGTGTTGTTCACACAATGGCAAAATTGCTCAACAATGCATTTCTGATAACATATCTTTTTGTTAATTGACATATGACTATAGATTAAAGAGAGCACACAACCTATGAATAAAATATGAATTTTAAAGCAGGCAATGGCCTTCCAAAGTGCTGAGATTACAGGGATGAGCCATACAAAAATAAATAAAAGAATAAATAAAAGCAGACAAAACACATTTGTAGAAAGAGGTCACAATAGGGGCCAGGCGCAGTGGCTCACGCCTGTAATCCCAAGACTTTGGAAGGCCGAGGCGGGTGGATCACGAGGTCAGGAGATCGAGACCATCCTGGCTAATACGGTGAAGCCTCATCTCTACTAAAAGTAGAAAAAAAAAAAAAAAAAAAAAAAAACTTAGCCGGGCATGGTGGCGGGCGACTGTAGTCCCAGCTACTCAGGAGGCTGAGGCAGGAGAATGGCGTGAACCCGGGAGGTGGAACTTGCAGTGAGCCGAGATCGCACCACTGTACTCCAGCCTGGGCTACAGAGAGAGACTCCGTCTCAAAAAAAAAAAAAAAAAAAAAAAAGAAAGAGGTCACAATAAATGCTGATAGTTATTGCTTTTAGGGGATAGGGAAATTTGATGTTTTTTATTGCATTGTTACATTTGCCTGCTGTTTTCAAATTTGTAGTAGAATTCACTGTTCTTTCCATATTCCCCACTATTCTGAAGCAGCTGGCTTGATAGAATGGCCCTTTGAAGATTCAGCTACCTTGATGGCTAGGTTGAAATATCTTGCAGGATTGGGGCAATGTTCTTCCTTCAGGAGGCTGTCTATGCTCTAAATCTGTGCCCCATATAAATTGCTGTTTCTCCCATAGCCAGGATTTATTGGTCCAGGAATCAACGGAGTAGAAATAAGAATGGTACTTTTCACTATAAACCCTAATGATCCACTAGGAAATTTTTTTGCCTTCTGTCCCAGCAACTTTATGGCCTACTTGTCTAGAAGTTTTCATTCCAAAGGGAAGAAGTGCACCAAGAGAAAGAACAATGAATTCATCGAAGTGGAAATTAAGACTGTTGCTCAGTCAATTTGGATTTCTCATGACTCTGAATCAACAGGCAAATAAAGGAGCTACTATACTCGCAAGGTGATTGGTCTTGAATGCTAAGGGAAATTAGACTTCTGCAATTGAGGTAAAGAAGAATATATCTACAATACACGAGATCCCTTAGTGCTTCTGAGTACTACCATATCCTGCTGTGGTTAAAAGTTAATGAAAATCGGCCAGGCTTGGTGGTTCACGCCTGTAATCCCAGCACTTTGAGAGGCCGAGGCGGGTGGTTCACAATGTCAGGAGATCGAAACCATCCTGTGAATGGTGAAACCCTGTCTCTACCAAAAATACAAAAAATTAGCCTGGCGTGGTGGTGGGCGCCTGTAGTCCCAGCTACTCGGGAGGCTGAGGCAGGAGAATGGCGTGAACCTGGGAGGCGGAGCTTGCAGTGAGCTGAGACTGTGCCAGTGCACTCCAGCCTGGGCGACAGAGAGAGACTCCATCTCAAAAAAAAAAAAGTTAATGAAAATCTGGGTGCAGTGGCTCACACCTGTAATCGTGGCAATTCAGGAAGCCAAAATGGGAGGATTGCTTGAGGCCAGGAGTTCAAGAATAGCCTGGGCAACATAGCAAGACCCCACTTCTACAAAAAGTAAAAGACAAAAAATAATTAGCCTGGTGTGGTGTCATGTATCTGTAGTCTCATTTGCTTGGGAAGCTGAGGTGTAAGGATTGCTTGAGCTCAGGAGTTTAAGGTTACAGTGAGCTCTGATAGGGCCATGCACTCTAGCCTGGGCAAAAGAGTAAGATCCCATCAAAAAAAAAAAAAAAAAGGCATAGACCCTTAAGAAATAAAGATTTGGATTATATGGATTATATTACTTGACAAAGAACCACAACCAGCTGAGGTGATTGCTGAAGACAAATGTAATATAGAATGGATAGCGGAAGAAAGCAATTATAATTACCAGCTAAGACCACAGGTCTACTTCAGAAACAAAAACTGTAACTTTATTGTATTGTAAATATGATTTAATTGTAAATATGTGTGTATATATATGTGGGGTATATGTACATATATATGTGTATACATATGTGTGACTCTGTGTGTATATACACTCAAACACATATACACAAATACCTTTGCTTTCTCTTATATTATCCCTTTCTATAAAAAAAGTTGTATTAACTTTGCAACATAGTACTTAAATATTAACTGTATATCATTGCATTTGAGTTACATGATATCAGAGAAAACACCACCCATGACCTTTACATCCTCTTCTGGGGAAAGAGTTGGTGGATTTTCAGGGTTATGCAGGATGATTGTATCATGTCAGAAAGAAGTATTCTTTGCTATTATCTTTATTTGGAAATTAAATATGATTTAAAGAGATGTGTATGTGTGACAAGTTGACAAGGAGTGGACTGTGATGGTTCATTTTATATGTCCACTTGGCTAGGCTATGAAATCCAGGTATTATTCAAACACTAGTCTAAATGCTCATGTGAAGGTGTCTTTAGATGTGTTTAACATTTGCAGTCAGTTGATGTTAACTAAAAGATTTAGACTTGCATCAGACTAACTTACTTCAAAGTATACTGCAAAGCTGTAGTGACGAAAACAGCATAGTACTGACAGAAAAATAGACATGTAGATTAAAGGTACAGAAAAAAAGCTTCCAGAAACAAATCTACACATTTACAGTTAACTGATTTTCAGTAAAGGTCCAAAGAATACAGAAAGGTACCAAGAAAGGACAATTTCTTCAATAAATGTTGTTGAAAAACTGGATAACCTCATGCAGAAGAATAAAGTTCGCCCCTTATCTCTCACCATATGAAATATTAACTCAAAATGAATGAAGTCTTAAATGTAAGACCTGAAACTATGAAACTATTGGAAGAAAACACAGGGAGAACACTTCATGATATTGACTTGGGCAAGAATTTTTTGGCTAAGTCGTCATAGCACAGTTATGTTTTTATATATGTTTTGCATATTTTTATAAGAAAACATAGACAAATGGAATTACAATAAATTAGCAAGCTTCTCCACAGCAAATGAAATAATCAAAAGAATGAAGAGACAACCTACAGAATGGGAATAAATAGTTGAAAACTATACACCTGACAAGGTGTTAATATCCAAAAAATATAAGAAACTTAAACTTTTATTACCAAAAACCAAATAAATTAAAATAAAAATGGGCTAAAAACCTAAATAGACACTCTGCAAAAAAAGGCATACAAATGGCTGGCAGACATGAAAAAATGCTCAACTTCAATAATCATCAGGGAAATACAAATTAAAACCACAAGGAAATATCACCCACCCCAGTTAGAATGGCTATTGTTAAAAACGTTAAAGATATCAAGTGTTTACAAGTATGTGGAGAAAAGAAAACTCTTGCACACTTGCTGATTGAAATGTAAATTAATACAGCCATTATGGATAACAATATGGAGATTCCTAAAGAAATTAAAATTAAAACTATTATATGAACCAGCAATCCCACTGCTGGGTCAATATCCAAGGGAACTGAAATTAGTGTGTTGAGGAGATATCAGCTCTTCATGCTTATGGTAGAACTATTTACAATAGCCAAGAGATGGAATCTACTTAAGTGTCCATAATTGAATGAATAAAGAAAATGTGATATATATATTATATACTAGTCTTCCTCTCCCAGTCCACTTACTCAAATGTTAATCATTTCTGGCAGCACTATATATATATTATATGCATTATATTATATGTACTATATTATATACATTGTAGTATATTCCATATACTATATTATATACATTGTAGTATATTCCATATACTATATTATATACAGTGTAATATATTATATATTATATATTCTTACATTATAATGTTGCATTATATTATATATTATATATTACTACATTATATTATATTATATATAATATATACCAGTATATATACATATATACTTATATATATCTATATATCCATATAATATAGTAGTATATATAGTATATATATATCTCATATGTATACTATATATACTACATACTAGTACAACATACTAGTCTTAGTACTATACATACTAGTATATATAGTATACATACTTATATGTGTTTTGCATATTTTAATAAGAAAACATAGACAAATGGAACTACAATAAATTAGCAAGCTTATATATACTATATACTATATATACACTATATATTTATGTTGTATAGTATATGTTATATAATATATAATATAGTAAATATATTTATATATATACACATATATATTTTATATATAGAAACTCCCTTTCACTTACACATATATCCTATGAGTTCTGTCCCTCTGGAGAACTCTGACTAATATGGCATCTAGAATCATTAATCATTAATCACATAGAGGTAAAAAGCAAAATGGTGATTACTAGAAACTGGGGTGGTTAGGAGGATTTGGGATTTGGGGAGACATTGGCCAAAGTATATGTAAATATAGTTAGACGGGAAAAATCAATTTCAAGGAGTCTGTTGTACAGCAAGGTGACTATAATAAAAGTTAATATATTGTATTCTTGAAAATGTAAAGAGGGTGGATGTTATATGTTCTTATGGTGAAAATAATAACTATGTGAGATAAAGCATTTATTATTTAGCTATATTTAACCATCCCATATTGTATATATACTTCAAAACATCATGTTTTACACCACAAATACTTTTTTTAGTTATCAAACAATTTTTAAAATAAGTCATAAATAAAATTTAAACTTTTCAAAAATTTGAATTAACTTCAATAATTTGAGTGGGCCTGTTCCAATAAGATGAAGAAGTTACGAGCAAAAACATTTGAGGTTTCCTGGAAAAAAAAGAAACTGCCTCAGGATTGCAACATAGAAATCCAGTATAAGTTTCCAGCCTGCCCATACACCCTGCCAATTTTGCAGAATGTGAGTTTTGGAAGGGTGAGGGGGGTATATGTATTGCATACAGTTGATACTTGAACAATGTTGGAGGTAAGGGTATCAACCTCCATGAAGTCAAAAATTCATGGATAACTTAGGCTGCCGCAAAGCTTAACTTCTAATAGCCTACAGCTGACCTGACAACATAAACATTCTGTTAACACATATTTTGTATGTCATGTGTATTATATGCTATATTCTTACAATACAGCATAAGTAAGCTAGGGGAAAATGGGGTTCAGAAAATCATAAGGATGAGAAAATATATGTACTAGTCATTAAGTGGAAGTGGATCATCAAAAGTCTTCATTCTTGTTGTCTTCACGTTGAGTTGAGAAGGAGGAGAAAGATGATGGTTTGGTCTTGCTATATCAGAGCTGTAGCCGAAGAGAGAGAAAATCTCAGTATAAGAGAACCCGTGCAGTTCAAACCCACACGTTCAAGGGTCAACCCTATACACACGCATGAACGCATGCACACACAGACACACACACAGACATATATTTAAACTTTTTTAAAAAATGAATTATATGTGCTATTTAAAAAATAATTATACGTATATGTATATAGAGAGAATAACACACATATATACATATATATTCAACCTTTTTTAAAAAATATGTTCTTTTTAAAAAACAAATTATGTGTGTGTGTATATATATACACATATATTTGTGTGTATATGTGTATATGTGTGTATATATATTCCCTTTTTGTGGACAAATTGGATAAAATGCTAATGCTCAGTGAAGAGAAAGTCAAGGCAATCCTAATACTGTTTTTGCAAACCTCCCTGAAAGTCTCTTTTCCACTCTCTTTTCACATTCCCTTCTTATATGCTCACCACACCAGAGCTCAAAAAGATTAATATGTGCAAATTTAGTGGATTAAAATGAAATAAAGTCATTATTCCACAATTTGGGAGGTATAAAGTCTGAAATGGGTTTCACTGGGCTGAAGTGCAGATGTTGACAGGTCTGCATTTCTTTTAGAGGTTTTACTGGAGAATCCACTCTTTCATAGTTTCCATCTTCTACAGGCCTCTCTTGAATTTCTTAGTTCAAGGCCCCTTCCTACATCCTTAAAGCCAGCAGAGAAGCATCATCTTCAAATCTCGCTGACTCTGATCCTCCTGACTCTGTCTTTCATTTATTGAATCCCTGGTGGTTACAGTAGCTCCAGCCTAATGATCCAGGATAATCTCTTCATCTCAATCTGTGCTTTGATCTCATCTGTGAAGCCTCATTTGCCATATAAATAAACATATTCACAAACTCCAGGTATTAATAAGGGGACTTTTTTTTTGAGAAGAAATTATTCTGCCTGCCATGCTATATAATAATTGTTTTAAAAGTTTAAATCTTACATTCAATAATATTATTATTAAGAAAGAATTTATGATACAGAGCTCTATAAAATGAAACATGAAACAATATAAAATATTAATTGCAACACAGTTAAAGATCATACAGTTTATAAAGTAGCAAAAAGAACAACAACAACAACAACATCCGGTTTTCTATTGAGGACCAACAAGGAAAGAACAACTATCTACTCAGCAGGTTTCAGTATTTGAGCCATCATTTAATTAAATATATTTGGAATCCTATAATCTCCTGTTCATCCAAATATAGATTTTTATATTCCAAATGACAGAACCTTGAGATATTTTATAGATTTTTACCCCATTTTAAAATTACTGAAATGGATAAAAACAAGAACAATAACAGAAAAACACCCTGTCAATCTAGACTGTTACACTGGATGAAAGAAATCTTCAATTAAGGCAAAACAACCTGTACCTCAAAAAAAAAAAAAAAGCTAAAAGAAATCATCACCAGCACACCTGCATTACAAGAACAACTAAATAAAGTTCTTCACTCTGAAGGAAATGATACCAGTTAGAATTCTAATTAGAAATAAACAGCAGAGAAAAAAACATAAATGTGTATGCGTGCATGCAGGTATGTGAGCATGGGAGTGAAAATGTTTGAAGTAACAACAGTAACAATGTTTGTGAGTTTTATAACATGAATTGTTAGGATTTTAACATATGAAAACAATCTAAAAAGGCTGGAGTAAATATGATTTGTCCATTCTACATTTATTGTCTGGGACATAGTAAAATTTATAATTTTAGATAGAGTATATTGTTACAAATACATTTCGGAATTTCCAGGAAACCGTTGAAAGACTGATAATTAAAGTGTAACAAAAAATTTAATAATGGAGAAATGAAGTAATTTCAAAACATTTTAAAATAATGGTTGCACTGATACATGCTCTTTCCAGTCATGTATGAAAGTAAAAATTGATATGTAGGCTTTCCAGCACTTGATATAATCAGATGTTCTAAATTTTGACACTGGGATAATTAGGAAATAATTTTTCATGAAGGTCTTAATTTATATTTCCCTATGAGTAACGAGGCTTGATTTCATTTATTCATATGTTCAATCACTACTTTTATTCCTCCTCTTTCAAATTTCTTCTTAAGTATTTAGTTCTATTTTGGGTATTAATTTATAGAAGTAGTTTGCATATTTTGGATATCTTTCAGATATATGGGTTGCCAATATGTTTTATAAATTGTAGCTTTTAATTTTATCAGCTGAATCTTTCAATAAACAATTTTGTAACTGTAATGTAGTAAAACTTATCAACTATTATTTATCTTACCTAAGGTTTTATAAGAATATCCTTCTTGATTCCATTGATTCTTGTGTTTTTTGTAATGGACACTTCTTTGCATGTAAAATTATCTTTAATTTGGGGTGTTGTTAAGATCTTCACATTTTTGATACCTATGTGTGTGTGTGTGTGTGTGTGTGTGTGTGTATATATATTGTGTGTGTATATATTTATATATATATATAAATATATACACACACAGACACACACACTTAGGTTGTCTTCAGAATTTATTTATTTTGTTCATCTCCATCAACATTTACATCATCATAAAAGCAGTGTTATTTCTTTGAAGCTACATATATATATATATATATACTTGACTTGCATCTCTTGCAATTCTCCGTCCCTGTACTCCTCTTACTTTCTCAGGAAAGCATTTTTTAAAATTTGTCTTGTCTCTCTGTCTCAATTTTCCTCCTCTCTTTCTTCCAGTGGTGTAGGCCAAAATAGCCTGGAGTCATTTTGAATACTCTCTTTTTTCACATTCACATGTAATTCATCAGGACATATGTCACCCTCTCTAATGCTAATGTTCTAATCTGAGCCACCATCATCTCTCACATGGATTAATATAATAATCTCCTAATTAGAGGTTCGCTTAAGCCCAGGAGGCGGAGGTTAAAATGAGCAAAGATTGCACCACTTCACTCCCGCCTAGGGGACAGAGTGAGACACCTTCTTAAAACACACACACACACACACGGACACACACAGGGACACACACAGGGACACACACACACACACACACACAAAGGTTTTTGTGTCTCTGTCTCCTTCAGTTCTGCTCTGATTTTAGTTATTTCTGGTCTTCTGCTAGGTATTGGATTTGTTTGCTCTTGCTTCTCTAGTTCTTTTAATTGTTATGGTAGGGTGTCAATTTGAGATATTTCTAGCTTTCTGATGTGGGCATTCAGTGCTATAAATTTCCCTTTTAACACTGTTTTAGCTGTTTCCCAGAGATTCTGGTACATTTTCTCTTTTTCCCCATTAGTTTCAAAGAACTTCTTTATTTCTGCCTTAATTTCATTATTTATCCAGGAGTCATTCAGAAGCCGGTTGTTCAATTTCCATGCGGTTTTGAGTGAGTTTCTTAATCCTGAATTCTAATTTGATTGCACTGTGGTCTCAGAGACTGTTTGTCTTTTTTTCTATTCTTTTGCATTTGCTGAGGAGTGTTTTACTTCCAATTATGTGGTCGATTTTAGAATAAGTGCCATGTGGCACTGAGAAAACAAAGCCCTAGCCAATAACATACTGAATGCACAAAAGCTGGAAGCATTCCTTTTGAAAACCAGCACAAGACAAGATTGCCCTCTGTCACCACTCCTATTCAACATAGTATTGGAAGTTCTGGCCAGAGCAATCAGGCAAGAGAAAGAAATAAAGGATATTAGAATAGGAAGAGAGGAAGCTAAATAGTCTCTGTTTGCAGATGACATGATTCTATATTTAGAAAACCCCATCGTCTCAGCCTAAAAACTCTATAAGCTGATATGCAACTTCAGCAAAGTCTCAGTACAAAATCAATAAGCAAAAAATCACAAGCATTACTATATACCAACAATGGACAAGCAGAGAGCCAAATCATAAGCTACCATTCACAATTGTTATAAAGAGAATAAAATAACTAGGAATACAACTTACAAGGAATGTGAAGTACCTCTTCAAGGAGAACTACAAACCACTGTTCAAGGAAATGAGAGGACAAAAACAAATGGAAAAACATTCCATGCTCATGGATAGGAAGAATCAATCAGTATCGTAAAAATGGCCATACCGTCCAAAGTAATTTATAGATTCAATGATATTCCCATCAAGCTACCATTGACTTTCTTCACAGAATTAGAAAAATACTACTTTAAATTTCATATGGAACCAATGAAAAGCCCATATAGCCAAGACAATTCCAAGCAAAAAGAACAAAGCTGGAGGCATCATACTACCTGACTTCAAACTATACTACAAGGCTACAGTAACCAAAACAGCATGGTACATATATAGACCAAAGGAACAGAACAGAGTCCTCAGAAATAGCACCACACATCTACAACAATCTGATCTTTGACAAACCTGACAAAAATAAGCAATGGGGAAAGGATTCCCTATTTAATAAATGGTGCTGGAAAACTGGCTAGCCATATGCAGAAAACTGGAACTGGACCCCTTCCTTACACGTTATACAAAAATTAACTCAAGATCGATTAAAGACTTAAACATAAAACCCAAAACCATAAAAATCCTAGAAGAAAACGTAAGCAATGCCATTCAGGATATAAGCATGGGCGAAGACTTCCTGACTAAAACTCCAAAAGCGATTGCAACAAAAGCCAAAATTGACTAATGGGATCTAATTAAACTAAAGAGCTTCTGCACAGCAAAAGAAACTATCATCAGAGTGAACAGGCAACCGACAGAATGGGAGAAAATTTTTGCAATCTACCCATCTGACAAAGACTTAATATCCAGAATCTACAGGGAATGTAAATAAATTTACAAGAAAAAAAAAAAAAACAAAGAACCCCATCAAAAAGTGGGCAAAGGATATGAACAGAACCTTCTCAAAAGGAGATATTTATGCAGCCAACAAACATATGAAAAAAAGCTAATCATCACTAATCATTAGAGAAATGCAAATCAAAACCACAATGATGTACCATCTCATGCCAATCGGAAGGGCGATCATTAAAAAGCCAAGAAACAACAGATTCTGGCAAGGCTTTGGAGAAATAGGAATGCTTTTACACCATTGGTGAGAGTGTAAATTAGTTCAACCATTGTGGAAGACAGCGTGGAGATTCCTCAGGGATCTAGAACCAGAAATATCAATTGACCCAGCAATCCCATTACTGGGTATATACTCAAAGGATTATAAATCATTCTGCTATAAAGATACATGCACAGTTATGTTTATTGCAACACTATTTCCATTAACAAAGACTTGGAACCAACCCAAGTACCCATCAGTGACAGAATGGATAAAGAAAATGTGGCACATATACACCATGGAATACTATGCAGCCATAAAAAAGAACGAGATCATGTCCTTGGCAGGAACATGATGAAGCTGGAAGCCATCATTCTCAGCAAACTAACAGAGGAACAGAAAACCAAACGCCACATTTTCTCATTCATAAGTGGGAGTTGAACAATGAGAACACGTGAACACTGGGAGGGGAACAACACACACAGGGGCCTGTTGGGGGTTGGGGGACAAGGGAAGGGAGAGCATTAGAACAAATACCTAATGCATGCAGGGCATAAAACCTAAATGATGGGTTGATAGGTGCAGCAAACCACCATGGCACATGTATACGTATATAACAAACCTGCACATCCTGCACACATATCTAGGAACTTAAAGAAAAAACACAACGCACACACACCAAAAAAAAAAAAAAAAAAACCAAAAACTCCTAATTTGCCTGATTGCAGTTGTCCGCTTTACTTTTTATATGAACCAGCAGTCTGAGTGATTCTTTTAAAATACAATTTCTATTTTGTCACTTACATCATTTCTCATGTTTTACTCAGACAAGTAGTCAAAATCCTTACAATGACAAAAAGACCATATACCATCTACCCACCATCTTTCTCATCAGTAATCCACTCGTTGATTTCAGTCAGTCAATTGCCTGGTCACTCTGCTAAATGGCCTTTCTATACACAGAATAAGCAAGGAAAATCCCTGCCTTAGAGCCCTTTGCATAGGCTATTTCCTCAGTCTGGACTGTCTTTCCCCAAATATTTTCATTGCTATCTCCCTCACCTTCATTTCTTATTCATGTGTCTCATATTCAGTGGAAAATCTCTATTCACCACCCGTTTTGAACAGCAAATCATCTTCTCTTTGTTGTTGTTTATTCTTTCCCTGATCTGTTTTTTGTTTGGTTTTCTTTGTTTGTTTTGAATTGACAATGTCTGTTTCAAACAGTGTAAGTAGGTTATAGTGATGTGACAATCAGTCTCAAATCTCAGTGGTATAAATAACCAAGATCATTCTACAAACACCACGTAGGTCTGCAGGGAGTCTCATGGGATTGTAGTTCCTTTGGATACAGCTAATGGATGACCTATGAAGCTAAGATTCTACCACCACCTTCTGTTTACCCAGTTAACTTCAGCAGCAGGAAGAAAGAAGAGAACATGGGAAATTGTGTATGAGTTATTGAATATGCCTATAATAGTTATTGAATATGTTTATAATAATTATTGAATATGTCTATACGTCATTTTCTTATGCATAATCTCAAAGGAGTGAGGAAAATCTTCCATTTGTTTATGAAGAGTAAAGAACCAGATATATCTATGAAAAGTAGCATAGTTTGATGCCTTGCCTTCTAACCTAATATGTGATTCACTGATAAGTATTTTTAATTAATTATCCCTCTTACCCCAGTAGAATACTGAATTCATATGGTCAATGAGTTTTAGCTATTTTGATCATGATTGAAGCCCAGTAGGCAAAACAGTGTAAAGAATATACTTGATGCACAATAAAAATGTATTGCATGCACAAAATCCAACAAAGTGCATTACTTTCTCTTTATTATAGAAATTTTATACTTTTATTACAATAGTATTTTTTGAATGTATGAATTTTTCTAGAATTATCTTTTATCCTTATTGTTACAGTTTCTAAACATCATAAAACTCAACTTCTAAATCAAATGCATTATGTACATGATATCCTGTTTAATTTACTTAACTGTAAGAAATCTTTCTTTATGAAATTATGTAAAATGTATATTTTTCCTTTAATGGAACCCTAACACTCAGCACGTTGACTGTACCAGGTACCAAAATATACTGCTGAAAGAGGTTACAGCAAAATTTTGGGTTGAGAGGTGGGAGTGGAATCAGAAAATAAAGAAAAAGGCATACATGAGAGGATGAAAGATAGTAATGGGATGATAAAAATGGAACCAGGGATAGGACTAAGGTCAGGAAATGCATAATGAAAGCAAACCACTGACTGCATAGCCAAAGCCAACTTGAACAGAAGGTAACTTGAAGAAATCAGAAATCAGACAGGTAG
Organism: Homo sapiens; assembly: GCF_000001405.40. Taxonomy (NCBI): domain Eukaryota; kingdom Metazoa; phylum Chordata; class Mammalia; order Primates; family Hominidae; genus Homo; species Homo sapiens. The sequence goes on from NC_000013.11 coordinate 87,608,413, forward strand.
TGCTTTTCTCCCTAAATTCATTTCCTTTATTCCCTATAAATATATCTTTATCTAAACATTTGACCATCCAGCTAAAACCTGTATGTCCCTGGCTTTCCTCTGGCTAGGTGTGCATATGTACCTCATGTTTGGAACAATGTGTGTGAGTGGAGATATTGGATGCTACTTCTGGATGATTCAAGTTAAGCTTTTTTGTATGGGTGAGTCTTTTTCCCCCTCCCATGGGTTGGAATGAAGATGTGGAAGCAGTTTATTTTTGACTGAATACACAAGGGCACAAACTATTGAATAGTAGGAACCCAGAAGGAAAATTGTCTGATTTTGTGAATGTCTTCCTGGGTCAAAGCTGCCTGATAACTGGAACTAACAGGACTATTATTACATACAGAAATAGAGTTTACTTATTTAAATCACTGTAATTGTGTCGGTTGTTTACTATAGCAGGTGGACTCTAACTGATATAGGTGGTGACATCCAAAACTGGAAAATACAGAGAACCCGAGATCATGCATGAGAGAGTCAAGGAAAATAGGAGAAATAGTTTTTACTTATCTGAACTCAGAGCAAATGGTTTTACAAAGCAGCCGTTGTCCCATTGGCAAGCCATTGCCCTACTTTGGCAAGTTAAACCTTATATTTTCAGATCTTGGATCAAGAACCACAACTTGGAAAAATATTTTCTGTTCTCTCTTCCTCTCTTCCTCCCCTCCTTCCATATCCCAGCCTTGATTCTGTCGCCCTTATACACTGTTGGTTGTTTTCTCTTTCACATACCTAGTAATTGGTATAACAGAGTTATCTTTTCCTCTTCTTTTCTTTTATTTCTTTTTTCTTTTTTTTTTTTTTTTTTGAGACTGAGTCTCACTCTGTCACCCAGACTGGAGTGCAATGGCAGGACCTTGGCTCACTGCAACCTCTGCCTCATGGGTCCAAGCGATTCTCCTGCCTCAGCCTCTCAAGTAGCTGGGATTACAGGCGTGTGCCACCATGCCTGGGTAATTTTTTGTTTTTTTTCAGTAGAGACGGGGTTTCACCATGTTGACCAGGCTGATCTCGAACTCCTGACCTCAGGTGAACCACCTGCCTCGGCCTCCCAAAGTGCTGGGATTACAGGCGTGAGTCACCGTGCCTGGCCCTCTTTTCTTTCTTTTCTTTTCTTTTTTTTTTAACAAACAAACAAAACATTACAACTGTTTTCTTTAATGAAAGTTGAATAAGAAAAATAACTTATATGTCTAAATTCCTTAGAGTTCTCCAACCCAGTGTAAAATTAAAACTTATACCTATCTAGAACGGAAGGATACTTATAATCAGCACAATGGATTGTCTTCCCCTTTCAGACTCAGCTGATCTCTGTGTTGCAGCACTTTTGATCATCCACTCAGCCTCCTAACCTCTCCCACAAAGGAAAAGTTGACATGCCTAAGTCTTCCCACTAGCAGTCTATAATATAAAAATATATCATACAGAATCATTACCACTTACTTCGACAAGAAGATGCAAGGAGAGCTACATACACAAATTGTAATGATTACTATATTGTATGTAGATTCTATATTCATTTTTCGTATTAAGCTGGATTCTTAATAGTGAACAGAACCAACGTGCAATATATGTTCTGTAGTCAACAACTGTAGTCCAGTTATTACTGGAATGTAGAAAGGACTTCGATATTTTATTTCATGAATATTTTTTGAAAACAGTATTAAAAGTATATGATTATGTACATCAGTGTCACTTTATTGTAAGGTTTGCTTATTGAACAAATTTTTTAGCAATATATTTATTGCAGGACAATAGATAAGCTCTTAAAGAATATTGTAATGACAACCTATAGCTCTTAGTTTCATTTGTTCTAAAGCTTTCCTCTAAGCTCCTTCTTAGATATTATGTAACTTCTAGACACAAAACTTAATGGAAAATAAATTAGGCGTTGTGCATTGCTGACTTAGGACACACTGCAACTCCTTGTGCCTTCTGGATAACTTGGTTTCTACAAAAGCATATTACAATGCTACTGAAAGCTTATTTTGAAATTTCATAATTTCCCCTACATTATGCTTTATATAAAAATCTGCATTGTATATTTCTTTACATTTCAGATACAGCAAATTCATAGTAAAAATGTATCCTGAAAAGTTTCAATATGTATGTGTACAGTTACATTTAAATTATTTTCCAACATAGGCCTATTTATGTCATGCTGAAACCAGAAAACTTAGTTTTGTAGAATAGTAATGTTATTTTTTAGGACAACCAACTAAAACTGCCATTTAGGCATTATATATGACTCACTGCTGTAGTTACGATACCGTTTTTATTTTTAATCAAATCTTCCAGAGGCCTTATGGCAAGTAGTATTAAAACTACTAAGCAAAAGTTTATATAATTTGGGGATTAGTGTTTCATAGATCAGTAAGGATTCCCTATACATCTTTTGAAGGATTTGATAATTTGGAGTCCTAAAGGTACAGATCTTTCCCATATATCTACTTCTCTGTATTCCTTCATAAAGAACATACACTTAGCTTAACACTTTATGTAAAACAACACTCCCCCTCTCAACCTAAACATGCTGCCACCCTAGGCTCAGAGAACGGTATAGAGAGAATAGATAACTCACTTACACGGGATCCATTGGATTTTTCTCTGGGGACTTTGGAATGGAGACAAGGCAATGCCGTGTAGCTTAGCTATGCATGATTGACCTGTAAAGCTGTGTACCCACTGTCTGTATTTGGGATTCGATTTGCATTGGGGGGGATGCTTTGACGAGCCACATGTAATTAATAATATCAGGCAACTGATATGGTTTGACTCTGTGTCCCCACCCAAATCTCATGTGAAATTGTAACTTCCAATGCTGCGGGAGGGACCTGATGAGAGATGATTGGATCACGGGGACGATTTACCCCTTGCTGTTCTTGTGATAGTGAACAAGTTCTCAGGAGATCTGGTTGGTTAAAAATGTGTAGCACTTCCCTCTTCATGCTCTCTCTCTCTTGCTCCACCATGTGAAGATTGTGCCTGCTTCCTCTGCTTTCTGTCATGAGTATAAGTTTCCTGAGGCCTCCCCATCCATGTTACCTATATGCTCTGTGACACCGTAACTCAATTAAACCTCTTTTCTCCATAAATTACCCAGTCTCAAGTATGTCTTTATAGCAGTGTGAGAATGGACTAATAACACCAGCCATGTAGAGAAATGAGATGCAAACATAGGCACACAAAGAAATATAAGAAGACAAGATATTAAGAGAAAGACTGAGATGGCTTTCCAGCTATTGAGAAGTCTAAATACACTTCCTTAAATAAAGTTCATCTTTATACATACATTTTTTTCAGCCAATACCTAATTGTGGATATTTAAAAACTTATATTTTGAAAGTAAATTTCACTTCTACAGTAAACAAATTCATACCAATTTTATTCCCTAAGCCTGGGCTGCAAAATGAATGGGACACTTACCAGGAGGAAGTTGAAATATTTGAACAAGGGGAAATAATTTTCCATGCTAAAATATGAAATCCTCCCACTTTAGAGACAGATTTTATTTTCTAGCTGTGACTCACAATACTACTAGAAATCTCAGTTTTAATTTCTGCTCTGAGTTTAACTACCTATGTAATGATGAGGGTAAATTAATTAATCTCTGCCAATCAACAATCTCCAAATATTTGTTACATGCCAATTATGCAAATCATGGCATTTAAATGACATGGCAAATAAATAACATTTTTATTATCAAGGAGTTTACATCTTATAAAATAGCAACTATATAAAGATAAATTAGCAATACAAGAAATAAAATAAATGTTACAAAAATGTACAGTGGTAGTCCTGAAACTTCTCTATCTTGAGACCGCTTACGTTCTTAATGTCATGGAAGGCCCCAAAGAGCTTTAGTTTATGCAGGTTGTATCTATTGATATTACTGTATTAACAATTAAAACTGGGGCCAGGCTCAGTGGCTCACACCTGTAATCCCAGCACTTTGGGAGGCCGAGGCAGGCAGATCATGAGGTCAGGAGATCGAGACCATCCTGGCTAACACGGTGAAGCTTCGTCTCTGCTAAAAAAAAAAAAAAAAAATACAAAAAATGAGCCAGGCGTGGTGGTGGGCGCCTGTAGTCCCAGATACTCGGGAGGCTGAGGCAGGAGAATGGTGTCAACCCGGGAGGCAGAGCTTGCAGTGAGCCGAGATGGCGCCACTGCACTCCAGCCTGGGCAACAGATAAAGACTCCATATCAAAACAAAACAAAACAAAACAAAAATTAAAACTGAAAAAAATTTTAAATACTCACTAATTTTCCTAGCAATTCACTAAATTTTTAAAATAGTAATAACATATACATAAATATTAACAAAAGTAACATTTTGATGACAAATGGTTATTTTGCAAAGCAAAAGTAGGTTTAGTGAGATCTGTGTTGCTTTGTATTTTTGTGAAATTCTTTAATGATTGGCTTAGTAGATCACTGAATATTCCACTTTTCTGAACTCAGTGGGTTATGGTATGTTGTTCTGGTTGAAGTATATAAAGAAGATCCAGCTATGTACAGATAAGTACTTGAAAACAAACTGAGGCACTCTTGGACACACTAAAAGGGTCTTGGGGTCATCCAACGTGCCTCAGATCACATTGTGACACCCATAAACATGCAGGTTTAATTTCAGAACAAATTATAAATAAACGTAAAATACTTCATGGAACTGGGAATTAAAATAAACAAACATTTTTGAGAGGGAGTATCCACATTAACCTTGTGAGTTAGACAAATTGTTCCTAGCTGGAAAATAAAGAACATGAAATCTATAAAAATCAAACAAAATGTTGTGGCCATTGAAAGGTAGGGACTATCCCCAATTGTTTTGTGTAGGTTTATTCTTTTTCTAAGGAAGTTTTGTTGGTAGAAAGAGATTGAGTTTTCAAGCCTGGGTTTGAATCCATGTCAATCACTCATTCTATGCACTTGGCTACTTTAGCATCTTTTAAGCTCAGTTTGTTTATAAGCAATGGAGGAAATTTCAATGGAGCTGAAAAAATTTACACTGCGTGCTGTTAAGAGTGTTGGAAATGACGTGTGATACATCCTTAACATGTCTGACACATGGTGATGGCTCAGTAATTGGTGGCTGTGATATTTATAATTAATATTTATCTGTATATTTCAGTATTTTTCACTATATGATAATGCCTAGAAAGATGAATAAGGTTCAAGTAAATAGAAAGGATAACCTCAATAAGAGAGGTTAAATTATTTTTCAAACGTAGGCCTATTTATGTCATGCTGAAACCAATAAACTTAGCTATGTAGAATAGTAATGTTATTTTGGGGGACAATAAACTAAAATTGCCATTGAGGCATTACATATGACTCACTACTGTAATTACGATAACATTTTTATTTTTTATCAAAAAAAATTTCCAGGAGTAGTAAATAACATTATGGAGGTTATCATTTCTACTTAGTTGAACCTTATTCAAAATACAAATCTCCACAATTTATGTTGTAAAGGTTATAGTGTTTGTCACGTAACCTGGAAAATTTTAATTGACATGGGTCATCACAGCTCAATACATTTAAGAAAAAATCTTGAATTCCTAATCTTATTCATTTTAGTCACTGTCCTAATCTAACTCCTGAAATTTAATATTAATCCTTTACCCCCACAAAATGACTTAGCATCCTTAAAATTTCAATATTGCATTTTCTTATTTGGATTGAAGTTTAGATCTATTTAGAAAGTAGTCAGCCTGAAAGGCTGCTTTTTCACCATTTGCTTATTTTATTTGCATATTTACCTCTATAAAGGGATTACAGCTCACAATAGACATAGCAGTTACAAATGTAAATATAAATTGGTATTTTTATTAACAAGAATAAAATTTTCTGTCAATTTGATTAATAATTTGGTTACCAGTTTGGTGTTCTGAAAATCTAAACTCAGAAAAAATTAATTTCAGAAGGATGATTACAGCAAACTACAATTTGCTGTATATTTCAAGATAGCTAGAACAGAATATTTTAAATGCTGTCACCTGTCACATAAAAATGACAAATGTTTAAAGTGATAGATATGGTAATTATTCCAATTTGATCGTTATATTATCGACATGCATTGAAACATCACATTGTACCCTATAAATATGTACAATTATTATGTCAATTATAAATTTGAAAATTAAAAAAATTTTCCTGAAGAACATTACTTCAATAAATCATAGACACAGAGAAAAAAAACATAATTTTATATTTCACATAGTGCTGTCTTTAAATGCTACAGTTTCCAGGAGGCACAGTTCAGCTAAACAGTGCATTTTAATTACAACATATATTAAATATAAAGAAAATATCCTGATAATATACTTATTTATTAACTCATACTATCCTCTTCTATAAATTTTGCTTATATACAGGTAATAAATATGCACATGTAAATTAAAACAAATAAATCAAATGAAAGGGAAATAACCTTCTCAAACCAAGATGAAGGTAGGAAAAAGTAAATTTTAAATTAATACATGAAGAGAGTAAAGAAGTAATAAATCTGCAATTAAAGTTCAATTCTGAGATCCTAACTAGGTGAATCAAAGAGTGAAATGTAAGTAGGCATATAGCACAACATATTTGACTTGAAATTCTATTGAAGACCTCAACAATTATAATCTTAGTAATAGGATGTCAAGCCTGTAAAGTTTTCATTATATGGTATATTCTTAGAAAAAAAGTAGAATAATACATAGAAAGCAACCTTTACAAGGAGGTAACATTATCTATAAAAGGAAGGCAGCTTCCTCAAGAATATTATCCACCCACTTCCCAACCTGAAGTCCCAACATTTAAGGTGATGTGACAATTTATATGTCAGGGAGAAAAAATCACATTAAATAATTTCCCAAGTGCGAGGGCTTCCAACTAGGAAATTATAGGAATGGGAAAGAGTGTAAGTAACTTTAAATGTAATAATAATATTTCAGTGATATATTATTATTTCTTTCTGTGCAGGAAGAGCAAGATCTCTTTTAGAGACAGGGAAGCTTGACAGGGGAGAAAAAGGCTGGGATATTTTGGAATAATGTAGACGGCATCTTATAAACAAATCGATGGAAACAGGAGTTGCTGCTGTTGATCCTTTTGCTCTTACCATTGTTTTCTTCCCCATAGAGTTAGTGCAGAATCCCCATTCTTATATTTCATTATTCATTCCTTTGTTATAGTCTCAGAGGCATCATTTTTGATCAGATGACTTTAATCTCAGAGATAGGTGCTATATCCTCACTTCAGACATCCTATTTGCTGATTCCTTAATGGCAATTTTTTTTTCTCTTAACCACACCCTAAAACGAAGTAAAAATAAATACATATAAAAAATTCTGAAACACCACAAATTATTAAATAATTGAAAATAATGAGCAGAGATTTAACAATTTAACCAATTTTAGGAGAATTTGATATAATCAATTCAAGCCCTGATACTTAATATAAGATTCTCCCCGGTCCCCAAAGAGCAAAATCCTTTAGAATAGTGATGGCATGTTCCATTTGATACCTCCATCACATGGCAAAATACTTGATTTAATAAACATTGCAGGTTGAATAAATATTATGTTAAAAAATTAAAAAAAAAACAGAAAAGGGAAACTGTCTATAGTGTTGTCATGGTAACAAATGAAATAATTGAAACTCATAAATTCATTTCTCTGTGGTGATGTCTTCATTGAAAAAATTTCCAAGAGTAGTATATAATTCCTGTTTGAGAAGAAATTACTTACTTATTTGATGCACTAGCATATTTGGCCTTAAAATAATATTTTCTTTTTTTCTTCAGTGTATGTGTTTTTTGTTGTTGTTGTTGTTTTCTGTTCTCAAGTTCTAATAAATTTATTGAGAGGTAAATAATATTAGGATAACAGGAGCTCCTAAAAATGTGCTGATTGAAAGAATGACATAATGTTAAACAAGTAGTTTGAACTACATACTTGGAAATAATTATTCTAATTTAATAGATATTTTTCTTTTCTTCCTTTATCTTGCACTTGTAAAAGGGAAAAAAAGATATATGATTCAATGAACATATATCTCCAACTTGATGAACTTATGGACATTTTTGACATGAAAAAGAATTCCAGCTGATCCAAGTATCAACTTAAATTACATTATGATATTAATTAAATACTTAAAAACATAAATCTTGGGATGAACTCTAATTGATTCTTTGAATTTATAACTATAAAGCCAAAGAGAATTTATAAGCTAAGCACAAGCAAATTATAAACCCATAAAATTAAAATTAACAACATAAATTTGAGATAATAGAACATGTGTTGTTAACAGTAAATTTCCAACCTCAATTAAAATATGATATGATTGTTGTGATAAAGTTTTCTGTTGAGTTTCACAGGCCTAGTCAACCCTAAGCCATGAAATTACTTGATTTCTCATTTTACTCACATTAAAATGCTACCAAACTTTTGTTTCTATAGTGTCATCGGCGTGTAATTTGGGCTTCACTTGGGACAAATGTATTACATATGTAGCTTCTCTATCTCATTTGTTCATTAACTTCTCATCATACAACTCGGAGCCAAAAATATCATAAACCCAAAGGCAGCCATGGCACTGAAATAACCGATCTGTATTGTATCTGATAAAGAATATGCTTATATAAGGTTATTGTGAAATTATTATCAAAATAGAAAGATAAAACTAAAATAAAAATTTTAGTAGAGAACTTGTGGAACGTAAAAAAGCAATACTTTCAAAAACCTTCTCGCATCCATAGTAGCAAGTTTGAGAAACACTACATAGTAGACACGGAGAAAAACTAGTTTTCATACAAGTACTTTTCAAGAAACTTTTTAATTTCACCACAGAACAATTTAAGTTTATGAATTAGAAACTCGAACCCATATTTTCCAGAAAAAAAATGGTAAAATTATAGTTTTGCACCCAGACCTTTACAACACAATTTAATTTATCTTGTAATATAGCTGAAAACTCTATTTTCAGTAGACAGTAGAAATTACTTCAGCAAAGTCTCTATTTTATTTTCAATGTATGAATATCAATTATGTAAATTCCTTCATGGTAGTTTCTGGAGGTATTGTAATAAGAATAATTAAACAAAAGCTCAAGAGTAGTACTTGACAGGATCTTTTTAAAATTAATGTTGAATGCAGGTGCCTGAGGAAAAGTAAATTTAAGTATTGAAGTGGAAGATACAGAACTTCTGTCAAAATGCTGAAAGGACCTGGTTACAAATGGAGGCTTAAAATGTTTATATTACTGATTGTTAATTATGTCTAATTTACTTAGAAAGTTAAGTCTCATCTGGGCATGGTGACTCTTATTCATAATCCCACCATTTTAGGAGGCTGAGGCAGAAGGATCACTTGAGCTCAGGAGTTTTAGATCAGCCTGGGCAAAATGGTGAAACCCTGTCTTTACAAACATTAAAAAAAGAAAAAAAATCAGTCAGGAGTAGTGATGTGTGCCTGTAGTCCCAGCAACATGGGAGGCTGTGTTGGGAGGATCACTTGAGCTTAGGAGGCCAAGGCTGGGCTGCAGTGAGCCACGATTGTGCCACTGCACTGTAGCCTGGGCAACAGAGTGAGACCCTGTCTTCAAAACTAAACAAAACAAAGACAAAGAAAGAACTATTGTTCCTAAAACTAGCCTGAAGCTTGTCGTCTATTATTGAGTTCTTATTTTAATCAAATAAAATTAGTACATGCCATTTTTTCTTAGTAATCTCCTCACAGCACTAGGAAAACTTCACTCTTTCAGACATCTCAAATATTTCTGACATTTTCCTTTTCTAAAACAAAACATGTTTATTACAAAACATACCATAACATAGACAGTCATATCTATAAAATGATGGAATTCTGCCATTAATGGATACTATTATATCTATCTTACTATTATGCCTCAAGCCATGCCAAGATGAAACATTTAGTATCTTTTTTTTCTTGATCTCAAACTCAGGGTGCTTCAGGTAAGGGGTAAATACTTTTCTATGTGACTGTAACCTAAACTTCCACAAGTCATCAAAACTACGTAAAAACGAATTCACATGTGTGGTAATAACATTACTACATCACATTTTTTACTGGCTCTTGTTTTCAGAAGCTTGCAGAGACTCTGTACTTTTGCAAATGTCCTCCCTGTTGTTGTTGTTGTTGTCATTGTTGTTGTTGTGGTTGTGGTTTTTAACTCAGGAGACTTTTTGCATGTGCTCACAAATAAGTTCAAGAAACTACTACCTCAGCCATTATGCGTTTGATCTACACTTTAGCTTCTGGGCAGTACTTTCTCTCCTGGGCTCTGCTATTGCCTCTACTGGAAAGCACCATATTATTAAGGCAAAAGTTTAGTTTTATGAAGGTGTCACTGCTTCTTCCAGACACAGGCGCCATTTGCATTAGGGATCATCTTGTGTATAAGTTATTAGGGATTGTCTTGTGTATAAGTTATCTTATCACTCTGGCTGCTCCTGACAATGTTGAATTTTACCAGAAACCTGTACTCCTGGAAAACAGCAAAGGTTAAAAAATCCCCCCAGTCTTGTGTCTTCCAGGAAATGGTTCACTGCAAAGAACCACACTTCTTCCTACGACTTATATAAGATTTATGGGTGCCTTCCTTATTTACCCATGACAAAGCTGGACACAGATCTTCTGAATTCCTATTCTTTGAGTCATATAAAATTAGTTGATGAGCAGTCAGGCACCCATCTTTGGTTGATGAACTTAGATTCCTATGTCTTAATCTCGATCAAAAAGTGTTCTTTAGGGAAGAATTTTGAGATATTTGGAACCGAATTCAATGTTTTACAAACGTACCTCTTATGTTTTTATAGCATCTATTGATATGCTATTCTAAGATGAGGACAAACACACCAATATAATTTAGTAAATAGTAGTTGATAAAAGTTCTATATCCACACAGCTATTTTAAGTGAGTCAGTTGCATCCTAAAGGAAAGAGAAAAAAATATTTAGAGCAAAAAGAAAGACAGATCTTTCTTTTTTTTTTCTGTCATAGCTATACGTTCTCTGGCTGACATACACTCATAATTCAGTATGTACTTATTGAATAAAGTCAGGAAGTTGTTGTGTAATGTAATGATATAATATGCTTCAGAGAATGAAAACAAACCAATTCTATATTACAAATCTGAAAATGGACAACCACTGGCAATAGACTTTCTATGTCATAAAAGTAAAGAAAAATATAGTTGGGTCTATTGTAGATTAATAGAGATTTAAGAACCAACACAACCAAATACAATGTGTGATTCTTGATTGACTCCAGGTGTGAGCAAATCAGCTATAAATACACTTTTAGAATATCTGAATATGCTCAAATATAGAATTTGTGGGTATTTTGTAATATTATGTGATTTGTCTCAATTATTTTAGCTGTAATAATAGCACTGCAGCAAAATTTGAGAATATTAATTTTTGGAGATATATGCTTGAAGTATTTAGAATGAAGTACCAATGTATCTATAATTTACTTTAAAAAGAACATATACCTAGTGATGCAAATATAGAAAAATAGAAACAGCTTTTGCATATAGACTTGGGTATAGAGTGTATTACACTCTGTATTTTTCCAAATGTGTAATAGAATGTCCATGCCTATCGTAAAAAAGATAGAATAGAAGGAAAATAAAATATTTGAATAAATAAGATAAAAATAATAAAGTATCTATATACCTACCACTTGCTCATTTCAAAAAGGAAAGACACTTAAAAAGTTTCCTTAACACACGTGAAGCTTCTGAGAGTAAGGGAGACAACAACGCCTCCTCTAGACAAAAATGTCAGAAGGAGAGCTCTGCAAATGCCTCCCTAGCCAAAGTAAGGTGAATGGTGTAGTTAGCCAAGGAGCAAGATCGGCATGTTCTCAAGGGCTAGCATCCTATTTTCCCTGAAATCTGTACCAAAATATCTTTAGTCCTTTAAAAAATACCAAAATTAGTTTTAATAAAAAATCCATGAGTTACTTAATATTATTCTATTGGTAAATATTTTTATAAACTTACAATAATTTCATAATAAAATTTTATGGTATAGATGTGTGCATGTGAGTGTGCGTGTGTATGTGAGTGTGTGTGTGTGTGTGTGTAAGTGATTGTTTCCTTAGGATAATTTCCTACTAGTAAAATTGCTGCACAAAAGGTCTGAACATTTTTGCATTTCTTAATTAAGGTTACAAAACAACTTTCTAGAAAATACAGACATAGTCATAAATGGAAATTAGCACAGTGGCTACCAAATATGCAACTTGCAATATGTAGGCATTACACAAAGAAAATGATATGCCTGGTTTTCTTATTTCATGCTCTAGCCCTATTAAGTAAGTAGACTTTACTACTAACACTTAACAGAATAAGAAAATAAGGCTTTAATTGTTTAGGTAATTTAAGTGTACACTGAAAGAAAATTATACACAGTTATCTATGTTAATTCTTCCCATCAAAATATATTTGATTTCTATCAACAGTTCTTGGAATATGCACCATTTCAACAGTGCATCTTATGGTTTTTAAGGGCTAATATAAGTGAAAAACTGTGTCTTACTGTTTTAAAGGTTGAGGATCTGTGTGTCTTCATTCATGGTTGCCTTTTTCCATCTTAATCACCTCCTCCACCTCCACTTGGACATCCATATGGTTCTTATGAATTTACAGCTGATATGTCTAAATTATTAATCTTTTATTTGACCTATGGGCTAAAAATATTAATTTGTCTATACTGTGAATTGAAGAAAAATCATGTATATGTTTAAAAATAGGAGCTGTTCGTCTAAATCCAAAAATAAATATAAAAACAAGGAAATTAATTATAAATAATTCATATGGAAATAAAATGTGTAAAAAAGTTCACTTTGTAGATAAAATAAAATTGAAGTTAAATTACCTGGACTTCTTAGTTTAAACAATACTTTTATAACTGCTTATTGGATATATTTTTATAGATTTTTAATATTTATTTCAAAGTATTTTAGGGAAATATATTAAAGTTTTCATAATGTTTTAATACTTTTTCATTTGTTTCATGGTTTTGTCTCTCTAGCAAAAATGAAGATACAGACGAACAAATTGCTAATGTATTTGGCCAATACAATTATTCTGAAAAACTTGGTTACAAAACAGCTCAACCAAATGAATATCATTTTCAGTTTAATGTCATTGTTGATGTTGATGTATATTTAGTGAAAATCTACTCAGAAATTCTCACAGAATATAATGTAGATCAGACAACAAATAAATGATAATTCCAATATCTTGATCTTGTTTTGTATTATCTTCTGAATTTAATAGTCACTATTTTTTCCAACATATCTCTGATTTTCAGGCCATTATCTTGAAAAAGGTTCAAGTACAGTCAAGCAGTAATAAATGTTCTTAGGATATTTTACATCTTAGCCTAGAAAACTGCATCCCACTAGACTAGTCATTCACTTGAGTCATAAATTCTTTTAGGGGAATTTGTAAAAAGGAGAGCTAGGACGAATGTTTTTCTCTTCTGTAACATTATTCATATTTTGCAAAAGAGAAATTTGGGCTTTATTTTGGTTGATTTTATTACACTTAGGCAGGTTGCAGTGAATCCTGTTCTTCATACAATTGATTTGTGAAGAGAGGTATAAAGTTCACGTAAGGAGTAAAAAGCTCATAAATCTTGATAAGTCTGAAAATGAAACAAATGTCTAAAAACAAATAAGTCTACCAGAATCCAGGCTTTTATTTTCATAATAATATGTATGTGTATCTTTTTAATTTGTGAGAGATGGATTCAGAAGTATTGTAAAATGTAACTTCAGAAGAACATTTATTACAATATTTCCTCAGAGGGGAAAAATAGGGCTGTAATAATCCTGATCTTATATCAAGTCATTCTATGAAAAAATTGAGTTCATGTTGTTTATTAATTATTAAAATGCATAGTTTTGGCAACAACGTTATAACAACATGAAAGAAAGATAATTACATTTAAAGTAATTCAGTGTGTGGCTATTGTACTCTTGACTCAGTCACAACATATTACTTGTCTGCAGGGGCAGGTGAAGAACAAGTTGCACTCATCTGGTACTATAAGCCTTAACTTGCCCTTTTATATCTCTCTCACCTTGAAAATCCATCTTTCTCTCCTACTCTTATCTAAATCTATCTGTTGCAAATAAGTTTCTCCCACAGGTCTGATTTCTCAGGGAATGCTCCTTTCTCTGAAACCCAGTAAAATTGTAAAAATTTCAGGGTAACAAAGGAGGCTCTCTTTTGTGAATGCTATTTTTATTTACTAGGTAAGCAAATTGATATAATATGGAGAGTGCATATTCTTGTATTACAACAGATCTGGAATCTAATTCCTGTTATTTTACTTACTAGTCTTGTGACCTCACACATATCACAAAATTTATATTAGACTCTGTTAAGATATCTAGATGTTGTGAATAAAAATCCTTATTTTTTAGGCTTGTGGCAACTTTTACTTTCGCATGTTATTTCACCACTGAAATTATATTTGATTTCTAGATAGAATATCTGAATCCTCAACCACCCATTTTCTAGAGCCATAAAATCAAAAGGGAGATAGCCAGAGGATACAGAGAAGTAGTGTACACATTCCAATTCTAGCTATGGCTTTTGTCCAAGCCCCAGTGGATTCATGAGTTGGGTTAGTCTATTATATAAAGCTTTCAGAACTCCTTTCGCCTAGACCACTGGCAAGCTTTAGAACAACACTAAAAGCTTCACTAATGGGTTTCTTGGCCCATTTTCCACAGTTCTTTCCTTTAATCATGGCTCTCCAAATACTATGACTCTAATGGTGAAGAGACAGCAAAAAGAGCTGTCTCCAAGGAAAAAACTCTACAAAGACAAAAGGGAAAATCAATGCTTCCCCAACTCAGTCTAAAACTGAGTCACATGCCCCCAACCTTCTTTGAGTAGGGTCCCTTCTTTGTTGTTAATTATATAGTCAGTAATGTGTTTGTAGATGGAACTCCAAATTACACGTCCAATGGTCATTAATCACATTTTTGAAAAGTTCCAATTTTATGCAAAGTGCAAATTCTACGCTCTAGGATGTTGAATCCTAGATAAGATAGGTTATTTTGCACAAAAAATGTACAAAGTAGGACAAAATTTTAAATTATATTAAATATTATAAGATAAATAACTAGATACCATGGGAGAGAAAAAACAGGGAGATCCTCTATTGGGTAATATGTGTAATTGCTTCTGAGCAAGATATATTTACTATATATACTTAGTAAGATATATTTACGAAGCAGAAAGACAGAAGCACAAAACCACAAAACAGAGAATAAATTTTAAAAGAACTTTCTAGAACCTTAACCAAATTATATCCTTGAATTACTTACCCTAATGAGCACAACTAAATCTCTAGGAAAAGAAAAAGAGAAGCTTAACAGTATCAGTCTTCTTTTTCTCTTTCATCTTTTTGGGGTTTCTGCCTCCCGGATGACTTCCTTTAGCCTTTTAACAAACAGCAACATTACTGCTCCTCACTTCTCTGCATCATTTTCTTCTTCAGTTATTTTCTGATATCTTGAGTTTCCCAAAGCAAGTTTGTAGTTTAGATATTTCAACAGAGAGCATTTCCATACTATTGACCCCAGATTAAAAATTCTGCCCATGACTTTTCCTATGAGTTCTAGATGAATTTAGCTAACTTTCAACTTGCCATTTTGACTTAGTTGTCACAAAAAAATCAGAATATTAACATATAAGAAAATGAAAGTATATATTTCAATTCCACCCTATAAGAAAACTTTTTCTCTTTTTCAGTAATGATACCACTATATACCTAGTTAGTCAATCCAAAAATCTAAGTCCAGGCTCTACAGTTACTATCTTGCCCAAGCCAACACCAAATATTTCTTAGGCCATTGTAATTGCCTCCTAACATAGGATCTGCCTCTACTCTTACCACTTCCCAGTTTATTCTCCAAACACTACTACATATATAATTTGAAACAATGATTAGATTATGCCACTTGTAGCAGAAACCGCCAGTTTTCCAATGACATTCATTTTACCTTTGTTGTTGATAGAACCACTAGGTTTGTGTTAGACACATTGTTTCCCAGCTAAAGACTAAGCACTCCATCTTCTATTGCAGGTTATTATAACATATGACTACATATGACTAGTATTGTCCAATTAGAGGGGAGCGAGGTAATGTCTGCTACTTCAGGATGCAATTAAAACAAACATGACATATACTCCCTTGGTCTTTACTCATTGGCAGGGAAGTATTATTTCCTACAGTTGACCAGAAATGAAAGCCATCTTTTGGGAATTACCGTTCTTTGGAGCCTCGGTACCAGATGAGGCCTATGTATGTCTGGACTCTTGCAATGAGAACAAACAACAACAACATATATATATATATGTATACATGTATATATATACGTATACATATATACGTATATATGTATACGTATATATATACATGTATACATATATACATATGTATACATATATACATATATATGTATACGTATATATGTATACACATATATACGTATACATATATACACACATATATAAAACTTTGTAAAATGATTACATATTTGATTACTTTGTTATATTAATTTAGTCTAAATTCTACCTGTGGAAGACTGTATTTTCTTAAAAATGACCATAATATGATGTTCTATTGTACTTTCACTTACAATATGACCTTGACAATTCTCCTAACAAGAGGTGAGGGTCTGTGTTGCCTTCTCCTTAATCCTGGGGGTCTTATGTCTATGTCTTATGCTATGTGACTTCTAAGGCTAGGTCATCAAACTGGACATGGTTCTATTGGGATACTCACTCTTGACACCCAGCCACCATGATGTGACAAAGCCCAAATTAGCCCACATGAAGAGACCACAATGAGAAGACCTTGAGACTATAAGAATGGTGATATGGCCAGCCCCAGTTCACCTGCTGTTCCAGCTCCAGCTATACCGGACTGCCAGTGCAGGATAAGCCCCAAGTTCAATTAGCTGTTATTGTCCCATAGTAGCCTTACAATGATCTCAAGTTGTAGTAAAGCTTACCTCAATGAGATTTCTGGTTGTGGCTTCTACCTAATTGAGTGAGCAGCAATAAAACTCAAAGAATGCCTATAAATGATTCTGGTGAAAGCCCTGCCAAATTAGACTGAAAGAAACAAAGACAGTACAAGATGAAAATAGGCATTTAAACTCCTAAACTTTTGTGGTGAGAAAACTACTCAGGAGCGAACAGAAGCTACATTTTATGGAAAATAAAATAAGTTTCAGAAGGTAGAACAAAGATCCAAAAGAAGGACACTATAAGCCAGTAAGAATAACCCTTGGAAAGCAACACTGTGACCCAGTCAATAAACTAGCCATATATATATACATATATATGGAGAGAGACAGCGAGCCATATACACACACACACACACACACACACACATACATACACACATATATATAGAGATAAAAATTAATAATAAACTAGCCATATATATATACGTGTATATATATATACACGTATATATATATATACACGTATATATATATATATATAGAGAGAGAGAGAGAGAGAGAGCACGATGGAATCTGCGTCTGCTCTGTCGTCCAGGCTGGAGTGCAGTGGCATGATCTCGGCTCACTGCAACCTCCACCTCCCATGTTCAAGCAATTCTTCTGCCTCAGCCTCCCGAGTAGCTGGGTTTACAGGTGCATGCCACCACGCCCGGTTAATTTTTGTATTTTAGTAGAGACGGGGTGTCACCAGATTGGCCAGGCTGGTCTCGAACTCCTGACTTTGTGATCCGCCTGCCTCAGCCTCCCAAAGTGCTGGGATTACAGGCGCGAGCCACTGCACCTGGCCTTTAAATATTTAGCAATATTTTTTAGCTGGATTTAAAGATTACTATGGATAAGGGACTGGGCTTCCTTTTTACTCACCCCCTTCAACGACAATTGTAATTAGCCTATGTCTGTCCAACCAATAAATTTTGGGTATGTTGAGGGAAGAGAGCTTGCCTCTTTATTTCCTATAGCTTTATTTCAAAGGAGAACTGTACTCAAGGAGACATACCCAAGGAACAGCAACTAAAGGGCATCATCCATATATATATACATAATTTAGATGATGAGATCTCAGTCGTTGATTTTCTTCCTGATGCTGTAATGGCACAAAAATCCTGGGGTTTCTTGGTGTGACTATATATTGAATGTGGGAGAAATGTAAATAATTGGGGGTCAGAAGAGAGTGTGGTCCCAAAATTATTTAATATTCCTTCCATTGAGAAATACAGTCTATGCCTCTCCCTGAAATGTGGACTCTGTACACATAATCAATAGTGTCAGATAAAAATGATGTGCCAGTTCCCAGAACAAGTATAAAAGAAACTGCTAGTTTCCACTTTCTGTCTCCTGGGAGGCTCACCTTATGTCCAGCTACCTTGTCGTCAAGCCCAGAGAGTGCAGCAGAGAAGCCTTTCTGAGGAAGTTCACGTGGAAAGGAACAGAGGCTTCTGCCCCTCAGCACCAGCTGAGTTTCTAGTCAACTGCATTAATTTGCACCCGTGGAAGAGAGATTTCTTTTTCAAGTGGAATCTCCCAGCTCCCAGTTGAGCTGATGCAGATGATGTGATGAAGCAAAGATAAGCCTTCATTTCACCAAACTGCAGATTGGTGAGCCAAAGAAAATATTGTTTTATGCCAAAAAGCTTGGGGTGGTCTGTTAAATAACAAGAACTCTAATTATCCATAATTTATTTTCTTGTAACCTTCCCAAGATTTCCCAATGAATTAAAAAACAAACAGAAGCTCAGGTTACTTACCAGAGACTAACAGGTCCTTCTTGATCTCTGGCCACATTTGCAAACTAATTTCCTTCTGCATTCACCATCTTTTACTATTCTGCAGGTCTGTAAAGTTTATGTTCTTCAAATCAATCCAATGTTCAGCAAACTCACAAGCTTTGTTTTGCTAGATTTCTCTAACTGTTTTACTTAAATTTGTTCTTCTTACAGTCCTTACCTTATACAGTGCCCACTTTTAATTAATTATTTTTTTGACAGGGTCTCACTCCGTCACCTGTGCTGGAATGCAGTGGCACAATCTTGACTCACTGTAACCTCCATCAACCAAGTTCAAGAGATCCTCCCACCTCAGCCTCTCAAGTACCTGAGACACAGGCACACGCCATCATGTCTGGCTAATTTTGGTGTATATATACACATATATACAAATATATGTATATATATGTATATATATACACATATATACATATATACACATATATATGTATACATATATGTATACATATACGTATATATGTATACACATATACACATATATATGTATACACATATACACATATATATGTATACACATATACACATATATATGTATACACATATACACATATATATGTATACACATATACACATATATATGTATACACATATACACATATATATGTATACATATATACACATATATATGTATACATATATACACATATATATGTATACATATATACACATATATATGTATACATATATACACATATATATGTATACATATATACACATATATATGTACACATATATACACACATATATACACATATATATGTACACATATATACACATATATATGTACACATATATATGTATACATATATACACATATATGTATACATATATACACATATATGTATACATATATACACATATATATGTATACATATATACACACATATATGTATACATATACACACATATATGTATACATATACACACATATATGTATACATATATACACACATATATGTGTACATATATACACACATATATGTGTACATATATACACACATATATGTGTACATATATACACATATATGTATATATGTGTATATACACATATATACGTATATATGTGTATATATATACACATATATACGTATATATGTGTATATATATACACATATATATTTTGTAGAGACAGGGTCTCACCATGTTGCTCAGGCTGGTATTGAACTCCTGGGCTCAACCAGTCTGCCCTTCTCTGCTTCCCAAAGTGCTGGGATTACATGTGTGAACCACTGCACATGACCCACTTTAAATTTTTTACAACATTTATTACTATTGCAATTAACTACATTTATTCATGTATTTGTTATCTGTCTCTACTACTGGAAGTTATCGTCTATGTACCAGGGACATTATCTGCCTATTCTCTGCAAATTCCCTAAAGCCATGTGTGACATATTAAGTGCTAAAAATACATGAATTAAATACTGATTGAGAGATAAACATAATTTATATTTTGTTTCCCATCTATTGGTCACCTTTTCCTGTCACCTGGTGACATTGATATCTTACATAAACAGTAAAATCTGAGAATTCCAGAATTATTTCTTGTGACCACATGTTTCTGTTCATGTATGCGGGCAAAAATAAAAAGTACTTTTTAAGTCAATGATGAGTTGGGTTCTACTATGTATATAATTTTTAGATAGAACTTACATTGGATGGATTACATATGAGGAAATTTGCTTATTTTTTCTGTATTTTAGGAAAATGGAAACTAGGCATCTCTAAAGGTACCATAATCAAGACAGTGTGGAATTGGCATAAGATGGAAGTATAAGTGAATAAAACAAAGTAGAGTCCAGAACTATTTAGTTTCCATAAATCTGCTCTGGTTCATGAGGTTAGACAGTTGGTTTAGTGAATAACCAATTTTTTAAAGTACATTGGAATAGATGTTGAATCACATGGGAAATATTTGGACTTCAGTTCACTTGGTGAATGACTTTGAACAAATTGTAGATATTTACCCCTACTACTGCATCACTTTCTCCCATCAGCTGAGCCCAGGACCTAGCCTTTTTGCAAAATACCTAAATTTATGATATTTTTTCTGTTTCCTCTTAACAAGCTGCTGCATATTCCTTCAAAACCGTCTAATTCCAGAACAACTTTATAAGAACCAAATTTCACCCCAAAAATTTGTAAATAGAGACACCACTGTCTCCATTGTTTTAGCTAATATTCATTGAATGCATACATTTTGAGAACTATTTTAAGCTCTTTACTTGTATTAATAAAATTAATATATTATCTCCACAATGTTACTAGTATATAAACGAAGAAACTGAAGCATGATGAGGTTAAGTACCATAGCTCAAGAAAGCCACAAGTTTAACTGTGACTAAATTGGAATTTCTAAATTTTGTTTTTATAAATCTAAACTTCTTTCCTGATATATACATTGCTGCATTTAATTTTTTTCAGCATATCTGCACTTGCATATACTGCAACCAAAATAAATTAAAATGTACAAAAGCAATTTCATCATTTTCTCTCAAAATGAAGAAATTTGTATATTTTGTTGCATTTATTATGAAGTTGAATGACCATTGTCTTAGCCAAAAATCTGGAAGTTCTCCTTTTATTATCTTCATATTCAAACCTGTGACTAATTTTTTAAATTGCATTTTCTTACTAATTCCCTAATCAATTCAATACAAAGTATTTCTAGATCGTCCTCAGTTCAAGTGACTGTCGTTATTTGTAAGAATTGCTTTATCATACTCTGAGTTAGTTTTCTCAAATTTTCTGATATCTGGTCTATTTTGGACACTGCTGCAATAGTAATCTGCCTAATAATCAAGTTTGATCATGCCATCAAGGCTACATATAATTTTTCAATGCTTCTCCACAGTACCTTGAACAGTTAACATATTTTTAATTACTCTGTTCCTCTATTAAAGGATGAGCTCTTTGAAGGCAAATCTTTAATCTCCCATCCTAGTGCTTGATAATAATACAAAAAATTTAAAAAGTCTATTAAGGCAAGTAAAAAAATGAAGAGGATATGTGAATTAAAACTCTTCAATATAAACAGTATAGCAATTGAAAGCATCAGTCTGGCTTATTTTTTTACTATATTTTTATTGTATTTTGACAGTATCTGAAGAAAAATACAAAATAAAATGAAGGGTTCACATTAATTCATAATGGATATCTTTAAAAAATAAATGCTTCAAGGACTCATTTCTTTGATTAAATATATTTATACACAACCTGAGAGCATATCAGCTGCTGAAGTTATCCCAAATTGGAAATCTTAAAAATTATTTGAATGTTGAAATCAATGAGCAACCATATTCATTAAACCTTATCGTATAATCACTACTAACAAAATGGTATTTAAAGTTGAGGAAGACAGTTGTTTATAAAAACAAGTCAGAAAATAATATAAATTTAATAGAGATGACAATCAGTGCATAAAAAATTTATACTTTTAGAAGAACCAGATATTTTATTAATTTACGAAAAATTCAATCAGTTTTACTCATTTAGAAGAATTGGTAGAGAAAATTAGTTATTGCCGTTGAAAAATAGACATGCAAATTGGCTACTTGGTTTTCATTAACATAGATCTGAGGAAAGACAATTTTTTTTGTTTATTTTTTGGTTGCTTTCTTGATTTCTTTCTTCCTTTGCTTCTTTGTTTCTTCCTTCTTTTCTTCCTTTCTTCTTCTAATAAAAAAAGTCTTTATCCAGGTGTTTCATTAGGTTGATGGCAATGGTTAAATAATAAAGATTATTTGATCATGAAAATAAAAGATAATTTATTGAATTAGTTCATTATAATAAAAATTAAAATTATTTCTTGAAAAGCAACTCAATATTGAAGTACTCTATGCATTTCAAAAATTTCAATTTAGTTTCTCATAGCCTTAGTATATTAAAAATTAATGTAATTATACAAATTTGAGAAAGACCAGAAAATTATATAACATCAATTATAGTAACATATTTTATTGAGACTAAGTATTACTGTAATTTAATTTAATGCATTTTATCATTTAAAATGATAAATTTTAAAAATAATATTTTGTATAAAATATTTGATATTATGTAATGCGGGTAACTCCCGGAGTAAAATTACATGAAAAATAATAAGCAAAATAACTAAAATGTATTAACTTAGTAACAATTAAGGAAGTAGTAATTGATATAGTTTACCTGACAAAGAACATACTCCCTTACCTAATTTTAAACTGTAAAAGTCATCAGTATGTTTTTATTTATTTATTTATTTATTTATTATTTTTTTAATTTTATTATTATTATACTTTAAGTTTTAGGGTTCATGTGCACAATGTGCAGGTTAGTTACATATGTATACATTTGCCATGCTGGTGTGCTGCACCCATTAACTCGTCATTTAGCATTAGGTATATCTCCTAATGCTATCCCTCCCCCCTCCCCCCACCCCACAACAGTCCCCAGAGTGTGATGTTCCCCTTCCTGTGTCCATGTGTTCTCATTGTTCAATTCCCACCTATGAGTGAGAACATGCAGTGTTTGGTTTTTTGTCCTTGCAATAGTTTACTGAGAATGATGATTTCCAATTTCATCCATGTCCCTACAAAGGACATGAACTCATCATTTTTTATGGCTGCATAGTATTCCATGGTGTATATGTGCCACATTTTCTTAATCCTGTCTATCATTGTTGGACATTTGGGTTGGTTCCAAATCTTTGCTATTGTGAAAAGTGCTGCAATAAACATATGTGTGCATGTGTCTTTTAAAAACTATTATTCAATGCCTAATTTTAGTTAGAATCAGTCACATATAGAGTATCCCTTTTTCTATGCTTGAGAAGGGCTATTAGTAATGCTTTTCTTTATACTGAATTTCACACAATTTTTGCCAAGGTAATGATTAACATGGTTTTATTCTAACTTACTTCACCTTTCAAATCTATAATCTTCTTCATGGAGATTAAGAGGAAGAAACAAAGGAAAGATTATGATTTAGAAATACTATTAAGATTAGCATCTATGATATGCTAAAATCATTATACAACATTTAGCCTCTAGAAGTAATATCAATATCATCTTAAATCTCTGAAACAGCCATTGGATGATCTGATGACAGGATAATTGTCAATGTATATGTTCACATATATAAGTATGGAAATTATATAAGCAATTTATGTGTATGTGTGTACATGCCCAATTTGAAGAAACACATGGCTGTATACTCAGCCTTTTAATTCTAAGTGAGAAATCAGAGAATCTTCAAATTCTGAAGCTTAACGCTTATGTTTTACAGTGTTTCTTAAGTTATGTCAAATATACAAAATTCAGAAAGGCAAAGACTCCCTTGTTGCTAGTTTGTGAGGCAAAGTTCCAGCTAGACTCGTTGGGAAAAATAAAATGTAAATTTCCCCTCACTTTAGGGGGGATGTTAAGCGATAAGGAAAGATAAACCATCAAGAGCAAATGTGAGAAAGCGGGGAAGTGAAAAGTACATTTACAGAGTTTGGTAAGCTGATTTAATGGTTTCATGTATATAAGCAGTTGAAAGCAACTGAGACTAAGAATGCCAGGTTACCTAGGGTTCCAAATTTTGAAAAATGTTTGGAATTTATCCATCAGGCAAACCAGAGATAACAGGATTTTCGATCTCAATATTTGCGTGATCAATGTCCTACTTTAGAAGGATTCATTTGAAGGTAATATATTGGATAGATTGAATGAAAAAACTTTGGGAGGGGGGGAGGCACAAATAAATCAGCTAAAAGTTTTCTGTAATTCTCTGGATGTAAGGCTACAGACCCTTACTTAAGACTGTAATTTTTGGCAGTGGTAATAGAAAGGAAGGGACAGGTTTGAGATATTGTGTAAAATAAATGGAATGAGTCTCATGAACAATTGAAAATAATGGGCTTAAAGCTTTCATTTTTTGTTGCGTCTCAGCTAAGTTTTTGTATCACAATGATGCTGGCCTCTTAAAATGAATTAGGGTAGGAAGTAATGTCCCCTTTATCATTTCTGATTGTGTTTATTTGGATTTTCTATTTGTTTCTTTATTAACTTAGCTAGCAGGCCATCGATCTTATTTATTCTTTCGAATAACCAGCTTTTGGTGTCATTGATCTTTTGTATAATTTTTCACATCTCAATTTCATTCCGTTCAGCTCTGATTAGGTTATTAATTTTCTTCTGCAGCTTTGGGGTGGGTTTGCTCTTGTTTTTCCAGTTCCTCTAGGTGTGATGGTAGATTGTTAACTGGAGATCTTTCTAACTTTTTCATGTGGGCATTTAGCACTATAAAATTTCTTCTAACATGGATATAGCTGTGTTCCAGAGATTTCAATACGTTGTATTTTTGTTTTTCTTAGTTTCAAACAATTATCTTTCTGCCTTAATTTCATTGTTTACCCACGTCATCTGGGAGCAGCTTATTTAATTTCCATGTAAAAACAATTAAAACCCACATGATCATTTCAATAGATGCAGAAAAGGCTTTCAATTAAATTCAACATTCCTTCATGTTAAAAAAGCCTCAAAAAACTAGGGATCTAAGAAACATATCTAAAAATAGGGAGCCAATGATGGCAAACCCACAGCCAACATTATACTAAATGGACAAAAGCTAGAAAAATTCTCCTGAGAACCAGGACAAGACAAGGATGACCACTCTCATCACTCCTATTCAACATAGTACTAGAAGTTCTAGCCAGAGCAATTAGGCAAGAGAAAGTAAAAGGCATCCAAATAAGAAAAGAGGAGGTCAAGCTATCTCTCTTCACATATGATATTATTTTATACCTAGAAAACCCCACAGTCTCTACCCAAGAGCTCTTCGATCTGATTAACAACTACGGCAAAGTTTCAGTACCAAAAATCAATGTACAAAAATCAGTAGCATTTCTATACACCAATAATGTCCAATCTGAGAGACAAATCAAGAATGAAATCCCACTAACAAATAGCCACATACAAAAAAATAAAATATAGGAATACAGCTAACCAGGGAGGCAAGGTCTCTAAAATGAAAGTTACAAAACACTGCTGAAAGAAATCAGAGATGACACAGACAAATGGGAAAACATTACATGCTCATGAATAGAAATAATTAATGTTATTAAAATAACCATACTATACAAAGCAATCTAGAGGTTTAATGCTATCCCTATTAAACTATCAATGACATTTTTCGCAGAATTAGAAAAACTATTCTAAAATTCATACAGAGCCAAAAAAGAATCCAAATGGCCACAGCAATACTGAGCAAAAAGAACAAATCCAGAGGCATCACACTACCCAACTTTAAACTATACTACAAGGCTACAGTAACTAAAACATCATAGTACTGGTAGAAAAACAGATCATAAGTCAATGGTACAGATTGGGGAAGCCAGAAATAAACAAAATTGACAAAAACAAGCAATGGAGAAGGAACCCCCTATTCAATAATTTGTGTTGGGAGAACAGGCTAGTTATATGCAGAACTGGAGCCCTTTCTTTAACCATATGCAAAAATCAACACAAGGTAGGTTAAAGACTTAAATATAAAACCTAAAACCATAAAAAAGAAGATAATCTAGGAAATATCACTGTGGACATAGGCCCTATAAAAATTTCATGATGAAGGCTTCAAAAGTAACTGCAACAAAAACAAGTGTGACCTAATTAAACTAAAGAGCTTCTCCACAGCAAAAGAAACTATCAACAGAGTAAACAGACAACCTTCAGAATGGGGGAAATATTTGCAAACTATTCATCTGACAAAGGTCTAATATGCAGAATCTATAAGGAATTTAAACAAATTAACAAGCAAAAAATAAACAGCCCTATTAAAAGATAAACAAAGACATGAACAGAAACTTCCCAAAAGAAGACATACATATGGCCAACAAGCACATGAAAAAATGCTCAACATCAGTAATCATCAGAGAAATGCATCAAAACCACAATGAGATATCATCTCACACCAGTCAGAGTGGCTATTATTACAAAGTCAAAAAATAACAGATGCTGGTAAGGCTGTGGAAAAAAGGGAATCCTTATACTACTGCCATTGGGAATGTAAATTAGCCCAGCCACTGTGCAAAGCAGTTTGGAGATTTCTCAAATAACTTAAAAGTAGAGCTACTATTTCACCCAGCAACCCAATTCCTGGGTATATACCCAAAGAAATATAAATAATTCTATCCTAAAGAGACATGCACATTATATTCATTGCGGCACAATTTACAATAGCAAAGCCATAGAATCAATCTAGATGCCCAACAAGATTCTCTAGATAAAGGAAATGTGGTAAATATGCACCATGGCATACTATGCTGTTAATAAAATGAATAAAATCATATTCTTTGCAGCAACATGCATGGAGCTGGAGGCCATTATCCTAAGCAAGTTAACGCAGGAACAGAAAATCAAATACTGCATGTTCTCACTTAAAAGCGGGAGCTAAACATTGAGTACACATGAACACAGAAAAAAAGGGAGCAATGGATACTGGGGTTTACTTGAGTGTGGCGAGTGGAAGGAGGGTGAGATTGGAAAAACTATTATAGTACTTATCAGGTACTATAATCCTTAAGTGGGTGACTAAATAATCTGTACATCAAACCCCCGCAACATGCAATTAATCCATGTAACAAACCTGCCCGTATACCCCATGATCCTAAAATAAAAGTTTGAAAGAACAACAACAACAAAAAAAAAATGTAGGAAGAGTTAAATGTATCTATCACAGTTCTCTAGGGTAAGCTGAGGGATGGCAGATTTGAGCCTTCTAATAATATCCATTACTGCTCTACAAACCATCTTAAATATTAACAATATTAAATATACTTCTAATAATAATACAATTTTAATTTATATTTTTATAATTTTAGAAAAGTAGAAAATAAAGCATTTTTAAAGTTTGTGTTATTTTTTATCATTTAAAAATAATATTTAAGGTGATTTCCATGAAAAACTTTAACAAAAATTTCTTAATCTGTGATTCTTTCTTCTATGTTATTGAGCCAGTCTCTCTAAATCCTCCTGTATATAAACTCTGAAGCACCACAGATCAAGACAAGGGTGACGAACTGTGAGATTAGTGTTAGTAATAACAGGACATTCATAGCTCAATGGGTTTTATGTCAAAGGCTTTATGTCCACATTTGTAGAATTATTTTAAAGATGCATTGAGTTTGAGATGGTAAGACATAGAAATATATAGCTGGTGACTAGAAACGTAGGACTGAAGCTCAGCGTGAGGTCAGGGGAGAACTAAGACATTAATTAGAGGGTTAAATGTTGATAGGATTACAAAAACCTGTAATAGGTTATGGGAGAATGAATTACAGCAAGGCAGAAGGATACAAATCAGAGGAGCAGAAAGAAAAGAACATTGATATAAAGTAAGCTTCAAAGAGAAGAATTTCAAAATGGGGAGATGTTGATCAATGTCGAATGCTGCGGAGTCAAGAAAAATGATGATGGCACATACTATGCTGCTGTTCAACAGATACTAATTAAATATGCGGAATAAATGAGATACCATAGTAAGTTCTGAGAAATAGCTTTCAATAGATGGTGACAGACAGAAGTCAGATTTCAGCGTTTTAGACAAGATTATGTAGTAAAATAAAATAAATCCTTGAGGTCAACTATGCTGACTTATATTCTAAAGGTAGCATCTAATATGGTCTCTGGAAGTAACTTGGAGGTTAGTGAGTAATTATACATCCTGAAATAAGAAGAAAAAACAGGATGGTATTTTTTAAAAATGTATAGAAAACTACCACTTACTAAATGACTCCTGTGTGACAGTATAGTCAGTCCTCAGTACCCATGGATTCAATCAACCATGAATCAAAGTTTTTTAAAAAAACACTGTGTTTGTACTGAACATGTGCAGGTATTTTCTTGTTATTATTCCCTAAACAATGCAGTAGAATGACTATTTACAAATCATTTACATAGTATTAAAATTATAAGGAATATAGAAATGATTTAAAATATACAGAAGAATGTGCATAACTCATATGTAAATACTACACCATTTGGTATCAGGGACTTGAGCATCCGAGGATGTGGGTATCCATGAAAGGTCCTAGAACCAGCCCACTGTGTATACCTAAGGATGACTCTTCTTTGTTAGATGTGTAAATATGTTAATTTAATTAATTTTCATGAGGTTCTAAATTGATTTCATACATCAGGGAAAATTAACTTAAACATTAAAGATTGTTAGAGGTCATGAATGTTGAAATAAGAATAAAAATGTCCAAGTTTCAAAGGCTGTATCTTCTCTATTATGCATGTCAAATTTGTAGGTTCTTCTCAAGAACTCAATGAAGATATAGTGTATAGGGAGGGTTTTGAATAGGTGGCAGTGACAAATTAAGTGTCTAAGGAAAAGTAGGGCTGTCTAAAAGAAGAGGAGCACTTTGATTAGCACGTACAGAGACATAAAAAATGGTTGAAAGAAGGAGAAAATGTTATCTTATGTACAACTCCATTTTATAGCTCAGGGATGCTTTGATAATTACAGAGTTCCAGAGGGAATTAAATAAAACATTTAATTCACATAAAAGAAAATTAAGGAATAACACAATAAAGTGTGGATTCTTAGGGGAAGCTAGAAGGAATTATTGATGTACAGAAAAACTAAGAAAACAAGTGAGAGATTTTAGAAGGAAAGAAGCATAATGTGCTCCATGCATTCTTCACCATGTAATTTTCATGGAGTCTGAATTTAAGTTAAATGTGTAACTGACATGTAAAGAAAACTAACAAAGATGCCTATTAATCTGAGCACACAGTAATCTATCTCTTATACATACATAATTTTTTAAATGGCATACTTCCTTTCAAATACAGCTAACTTGTTTAAAATATTGACATATCTGTATGCCATATTAGATGAAATATATATTCATAATATTCAGCACCAATATTAATATAAATGAATTCTAGTACAATTTAACTTTTATTTCATGCACATGTAGATATCTTAAAACAGTATATCTATTTTAAATCTATTAATGTACAAAATATGTAAATCTATATTTATTTCTCTGTCAATTCTACACCAGTAATCATATCAAATATTTGTAAATCATGAGACTAAACATAATGTAAGTATAATGGTGAAGAATATCTTTATATTATAATTATAAGAAGTTTAGTTCCATAAGTGAGATAGAATTATTGGAACTATTTTGTTTTTATGTGCAATAACTTTGCTTGAATGAAATATCATTCCGGATTCTACTATCAGTTTAAACCGGACAACACCTTTTATTTAGTCACAGAGACTGTATTTTGAAATGCAAAAGTTTCAAATGAATTGCCACTGAGATATCTGTCCCAATATTGGAAGGTAGATAGAGTGGGAATGAAGTTAAGAAAGGACAATGCGTTTTCTCAAATTCTCCTGGTTTTCATGCTTTAATATTGTGATTGTCAGTTATATAAAGATTATTTTCTTTATGGTTGCTCTAAATTCCAATTCCTGTTACATAATATTATATAAATGGTCTACAGAATATCCTAATAGCTTTGCATAAAATACAAATTGTTTTCCACTTCAACACATTCTAAGAAATTAGGAAATAATCTACAGTTCATGCATATACATACACACACAGATACATATACATGTATTATCTATTTATAATGCTAATAAATTAAATAATATTTGTATTTAAACATCTTATTTTATATATTAAATTATATATAATATAGATATATATGTGTATATACATTCTAGATTCCTTAGAAAACTAGTAGCAACATATTGATAAAGCATCTTTATCCTTTATATGTAGATCTATTAATAGAAGTAACCATACAGGCCCATTTCTGACAAGTTACGTGTTCAACACTTTTGGCCAAATAATTATTTCAAAGAGTGAACATTTATGTTTTATGATATTTGTACTTGTCATTGAAAGAGATTTTATGATTATAATGTTGAAATTATTTGTAAAATGACAAAGTTAACAAGAATAATAACTATAAAATTGTTCTTAAAATAATGGGGTTAATCTGAACATTGAAATTGTTAATATAACATTTAACAAATTATTAAAAGTTGATGATGTTTTAATAATGGTGAATTAACATGGAGTTCTTGTCACCCCTGCTCATGAATACAGAAACTCAGTCTTTCTTCTTCACAGGTCAACTGGTTTTGACTTTAGTGCTGACCTATAGTGGGTGTTTTCGGTTAACTGTTTTCTAGGTATTTTTTTTTTTTAATGGTATTGTAAAAGAATGCCTTAAAATCAACACCAGAATGAACTTCCTACCCTCTCAAAAAGATTGACATAGAAAATATGTCAATAGAAAATGAAGTCGCATGTCTGTTAAATTTTACAAATGACTCCTTTCTTCAACTAAATAATTTTAGATTTTGAGTCACTTCATAATTTTAAGGCTCAACATTTTGATCTCATATATAGATCTAATTTTCTTCCAGAAAATTTTATATATCTTAATATAGAAAACTAAACCAATAAAATGAATATTTGATTGTATAATTGAACAAGCAGAGAACCTATGAACTTGCCAAATATATACTTTCTATCTCATTAGAATTAGTTACTGGAAATGTCTTGATATTAACTTAAGAATAAGTTGATGTGTATTAATGTGAGAATATATGTGTGCACTCAATATTTTTTCCTATTAGAAAGAAAAAGAAGATATAAATTCTGTAATTACATTTTTTTCTCAAAATTGTTGCAGTGAATTGCAACAGTTTCAACTGCCACCTCTTTTTGCAAGGAAAAAGTATCTCTCTCTCTCTCTCTCTCTTTCTAGAGACAGAAATTATCACTGGATTTCTTAGTAGTCAGGTGAAGATGCTATTAAACTTGATAATCATATTGGAGCATTTATGACTAATGTAAAATGCAGAAAATACACAAAGGAGTAAAGCATGATATTTGACATGAAGTAGCTTATAAATGCATAATAATTAGTCAAGTATACCATAACCATAATGTTATGTGAAGGGAGATAAATTCCAAAATATACTTAAAACATAATGATTGTTCAGAAGGCAAGGAAGTTATGTGCAGGTAATAATCAAAAAAGAATAAAGGAGGACACAAAGGTTGATAGGAGCATTGAAAATTAAACAGTCTCCATAGTGAGAGATGAAGGAGAATACATGTAGGCAGAGAGGACACCATATGTGAGGAGTAAGAACACATGTTGGGTATATTCAATAATCAATAAATAGTTCACTTTGGCTGTGGTGCACGACTTGTATAAGGGATGCTGGGATAAAATCCTGGAAAGAAAAGTTGGATTCATATTGTTTTTTCAGACTTTGATGTTCTTAAATATATATATATATATATATATATATATATATATATATATATATATTACAAGATATTTAGAGCCTTTCATCTCATTGGTGAGCAAACTGTTACACAAAATAGTTACTGCCTTGACCAAGATTACCCAAGGAATTAAAAAATGAGATTAGAACATTAGAAAATGGATATCGTTACCCCCAAGTTTATTACTTTATTAATACCTTCATCCTCATCTACCAGAGCCCTACCTAGGTTTGAATTCCACTCTCAATTACTAATTAGTTGGCCCTCAGATTTTTATTTAACCTCTGTTGGCTCCACTTCTCTCATTTCTGAAGTAAGGTTATCAATAATACCTATTTTATATAATTATGAATATTGAATGAAGTAATACATATGAAAAGGTTAGAACAAGCAAGCATTGGTTAGAACACAGCAAGCATTCAGTAAAATGCTATTACGTTATTTTATTAATAGTATCCTCTTAAAAGAGGTGATGCATGTGTTTGCGGTGTAAATTGTGGCAATGGTTTACTTATCTCTATTTGTATAGATTAAATACGTACAGTTTTGTATGTCAATCAAACTTCAATAAATTGTTTTTTAAAAATATTTTTTAAATTAAAAAGTAATATTCCTGTTCTGCAGACACAGACTCTCACAAAAGCCAAAATATTGGTGCATTTATGTTGAGCAAAAGTGTTGGTATTTTATCCAGAAGAGTAGTTATAATGCATCAACCATTAATTTATTCATTTATTAAGTATTTGTTTGGATCCTATAATCTGACTGCCTACCTATCATGTTAAAATCAGTGCATCATAAAAGAGAGAAAAAGAAACAAGTAAAATTAATTTTAAAATTAATAACATGTTATTTAACTCATTATATCCCAAATATTATTTCCACATGTAGTCATTGTCAAAATCACTGATGAAATATTTTACATTTTTACATTATTTATTGTATTAAATATTCGAAATCTGATGTGTATTTTATACTTATAGCACAGCTGAAATCTGAATGGCCACATTTCAAGTGCTCATGGCCACTTATGGCTATTGCTTAGAGAATTAGATAGTATAGACAGTGCAAGATTATTGCTCTCTGCACAAGGAGATATACTGCTTAGTGTTTATGAGCATAGATTCTGCAGCCAGAGTTACTGTCAGGTTAATTTCAAATCTCACTGTTGTTACAAGATTTAAAAACTATGTAATTTTGGATAAGTTACTTGGTGTCCTGTTCTCAATTTGGCCATATTACAATGAGGCCTATAAATCTCCAAAAAGATCACAATATAATGAGGATTAAATTAGCAAAGGCATGTAATATTCTTAAAACTGTTCAATAATCATTCTGAGTTCCTATCTTTGATCATAGGTTAAAAAATAAACATGAACTGTTTGTTTTGAATTCAAATATGATTTATCTCACCCTCCTTCATTTTAAAGACAAAGCTTCCCCTTTCAAATTACAGACATTCTATTTAAATTGTATGCTAGCTTCTTTTGTGATAAACATTAGTTTTGTGTTTCTCAGG
Organism: Homo sapiens; assembly: GCF_000001405.40. Classification (NCBI taxonomy): domain Eukaryota; kingdom Metazoa; phylum Chordata; class Mammalia; order Primates; family Hominidae; genus Homo; species Homo sapiens. The sequence continues at coordinate 87,642,124 of NC_000013.11, forward strand.
CTAATATTTTGTAAAAGAAACTGCTAAACTTTAGGTTAAGCTATTTCATTGTAGAACAGTGTGTCAGACTTTGTGAAGAAATATGTAGAGAACAAATAAGGTCATTTGCAGAGCAAGCTGTGACATAGAGAATGGCCAATCATTATGATCTTTAACTTCTAATCACATTATATCAAATAAAATATTATCTACAATAAATAATCTTTAAGGAAAACTATGCAGTCTATTTTTCCTATATATTCAAAAATCTACTCAGGATTAAGCTATGCAATCAGAGAGCTATATAAATAGGAAGTATTCAATTTGTTCCTCAGAGCATTGTTTCAGTATGATGTCATTACTCACAATAAGTAACAATCTAATTGTTCTAAATTCACCTGTGTGTAGACTGTAATACTATCTGTTAAAATGTTATCTTAATTTCATTATTCAGGATTTGTTTTATGAGAATTCCTGAGTGGATTCCACATATTAGAAATATTTGTGTTTGTCCTAAGGATTTGCCTGTATTTCACAAACAGTACATATTACTTAACATAGAGATTTCCCATTCACATTAGTGACAAGAAAACTTGATGTCAAAATTTGGTTTTGGCCTTAGTGATTGCATGGAAATTTTACATATACATTTTGACTTAAACTCCATTTTAAATCCTTAGTTCTGTCCCCCCTTTATTTTATCCTTTACATTCTGTTCTGATTTGCTATGTTGAGGCATTTCATTTATCTCTGTAATCTACCTCAAGACCTTTTTGTAAGGATAAAAATAAAATGAAATAAATTGAGAAGATACAAAAGGAAGGAAGCAGAAGAAATGAAGTCAGAAAGAAATATAATACAGAATCATACATCTGAGTGCGGAAAGGTGCAAGAAAACAGTGCAAAAACTGAAACTGCATCTGATTTTGCCATATGGTAATGGTAAGATGGTATAAGGCATACATTTTTAGCCACCTTAGCCAATACCTGAAAATACTTATTCCCATCCTTATTTCTTTCCCTCTTCTCTAGAAGATAGTAGATATCTTTTCTTATTTGATCAGTTCTATGAGAGTAAAAACCTTTAATCATACTTTGGATAACATTCCTTATAAATATGCTTAGTCAATTATTTGAAAATTTCATCACTGAGTAATTCCCATGAGCTTACAAATGAGCTCAAGTCTGTGCCATTTAAATAATAGAAAATTTTAAAACTGTTCTCAAGCAAACCTCACTTCCTTACTATCTTCCTGTTCATCACGTTCCTATGCTGTTTTGTTATTGTTACATCTTCATACCCCACTCACTCATTTCTTCATATTATTATTTCTACCTGCAGCACAATACTGGCTTCCTTACTGGCCATGGCAGTGGACTTTTCAAATTGTCCCTTACTTGATCTCTCTTTAGCATATCTATAATTCTCTGCCTCTTATTAAACTTGTTTCATTAATCTCTATGATTCTATTCTTCCTTTCTTCTTTTAACTCTCAGACATTTTAGTCCTGTGTGATTCTTGTTGCCATTTCAAAATTCTTGTTCTTTCAATTCCTTCATGATTTTGTGTTTTCATTGGACATACTTGCTTTAGAAAATTTAATAGCCACCCCATGTTTTGAATCTACAGTTTTATTATTACCATTAGTTGTGATCTGAACATTTGCGCCCCCTCAAATTCTTATGTTCAAGGCTAATCACCAACGTGATAGTATTAAGCGGTGATGGTCTTTGGGAGGTGATAAGATGATGTGGGTGCAACTCTCATGAAGCGGATTAGTTCTCTTACAAAAGAGGACCCAGAGAGCTGCTTACTTTGTCTCTCAAATCATATGAGGACACAGCTGGGAGGTGCCATCTATGGACTGCAGAGGAGGCCCTTATCAGACTCTAAGTCTGTCAGTGTCTTGATCTGGACTTGCAGCCTCCACAACTGTGAGAAATAAACTTATGTAGCTTATAAGCAACCTACTTTATGGCATTTTGTTATATTAGCTCAAATGGGGTAAGATTGTCTTCAGTAAGGATTTAAAATACAAACCACTCTCCTGAGTATGCAGCCATATAACAATGTCCGTTCCCTGAATATAGATATTAAGATTTCTTCTTCTTCTTTTTTTTTTTTTTTTTGAGATGGAGCCTCGCTCTGTCACCCAGGCTGGAGTGCAGTGGTGCCATCTAGGCTCACTGCAACCTCCGCCTCTGGGGTTCAAGGGATTCTTCTGCCTCAGCCTCCCGAGTAGATGGGAATAAAGGTGCGTGCCACCATGCCCGGTTAATTTTTGTATTTTTAGTAGAGACAGTGTTTCACCATATTGGCAAGACTGGTCTCGAACTCCTGACCTTGTGATCCGCCTGCCTCAGCCTCCCAAAGTGCTGGGATTACAGGCATGAGCCACCATGCCTGGCCACCTGTTGAGATTTCTACAAGCACTACAATCTCTACAAATTCAAATTTAACTCACTACTTTCTCCAAAAAGTCCACAGGGATAATAAAAATAAAAATTAACACTACCACTAATAAATACTAGATGAGTCCTGGATAATAGATTAATAATAAATTATTGATATTTAACATATATAATTAAAAGTAATTAATTTAATATATAACTAATAAACTCTATCATCATAAAACTATAAGACAGTAAATATTTTTTCCCCGTTTTACAGACAAAAAGTAGAGGTGTAAGTGAATTGAATACATCGCTCAAGATACACAGATGTTCTGAGCAGTAGAGGGAGTATTTGAATCTAGGCAGTCTGACAGGACATGCTCTTAATAATTACTCTATACTGTGTCTTTTTTTTTAAGTATTTAAGCTTGAAAACACACAAATACTCATTGTTATTATAATGGAAATATTAACACTTTAATGGTCTAATTGGATATATGGTATAGGTATTTTTATTGTCCTAATTTTACAGACAAGACTGCTGAATTGCAGAGAGATTGAATAATTTGCCCCAAATCCAGCCCTAGGTTATCTTATTCAAATTCCATCTGTTTCCATTACTTCTATTTCATTTGCAATAGTTGTTAACCATTCATCTACTCATTCATATATCTATTCAACTCAAACATACGGGTAATGTTTGGTGCCTCTTGGATAATTTATGGTCATGAAAAATACAGTCAGGGTTTTTCCCTCCATTCTGGCTTACATTCTAGTAAAGGGATACAATATAAAATTTGACAAAGATAAAAATAGAATAGTTTAAGGCGGTAATGGTGTCAATAAAGGGAAAATTGAATAATTTAAATTAGAAATGAGTTCTACAAAAGAAAATGTTGGAGCATGATTTGGAGAGAACACGGACTGGTAGTTTAGGAAAAACTTCTGTGAGAATGTAACATTTGTTTAACAGATGAATGATGAGAACTAGAAATTTGAATGGCTAGCCAACATTAACAAATTCATTATTTAAAATTTAACTTTCAGTGAGGTTTTTGGTTATTATTATGATTCAATTTTAAAGGTGTTAAAGTTAATATGTGTTTTGCTAGAACACACTTGACTTTTAATACATTTCTTCTGAGACGCTAGAATGAACAAATCTAATGAATCATAAGACAATATAATTTGTTAAATTAGTTTATGTTAAAGTAGGCTTTATTTTTATCTCTTGAAACATGAATTTTGGGGGACATATTCAAACAATAGCACATTCCATTTCTTCCCTCCTCTAAATAAATTTAATATTTGTTTCAGATAAAACATCTCAAGCTTTGAATTTGGGGATGACCACCCTCAGTTTTTGATACTCATCTATAATTCAACCAAGTTGGAGAAAAAATTTCCCAGAACACAAGTATCTGTCCTAAGTTTGATGCAAATTATCAGTAAAGTATAACGGAGTCTACCATTGTATTGGGTACATGAGAAACAAATAAATCTTTTATTTTACTCATGAGAAAAAGATGAAAATAAACTTTACAGCACCTTGCAAAAAAAAATAAAAAGTATGATTCATGCTACATTAGTTCATTTTGTTCTGCTGCATCAGAAATATGAGACTGGGTAATGTTTAATGAACACACATTTATTTGGCTCATAGTTCTAGAAATTGGGAAGTCCAAGAACATGACACTGCCATCTGGTAAGGGTCTTCTTTCTATGTCACAAAATGGCAGAAAGCATAACATGAGTAAGAGAGATAATTGCATGAGAGGAAGCAAGAGATTGAACTAGAAGCCTCAAGTGCTTTTATAATCTGCATTAATTCATCCATGAGGGTGGACCCCTTATGACCTAAACACCTCCCATTAGGCTTCACTTCTTAATACTATTGTATTGGGAATTGAATTTCCAACACATGAATTTGAGGGAACATATTCAAACCATAGCACTCTCCATTTCCTGCTTCCTTTAAACACATAAGATATTCTTAGCATGCCTTGGTAACATGTCTTATGGTGTCACTCAGTGTGTAGGACATATAATGATTAGTTAAGTCTATGAAAATGGAGAAGATGGCTGTATTAGTCTGTTCTCATGCTGGTAATAAAGACATACCTGAGACTGGATAATTTATAAAGGAAAGAGTTTTAATTGACTCACAGTTCCATATGGCTGGGGAGGCCTCACAATCATGACTGAGGGTGAATGAGGATCACAGTCACATCTTACATGGCATCAGGGAAGACAGTGGGTGAAGGGGAATTCCGCTTTATAAAACCATCAGATCATGTGAGACTTATTCACTATCAGGAGAACAGCACAGGAAATACCTGCCCCCATGATTTAATTACCTCCCACCAAGTCCCTCCCACAACACGTGAGAATTATGGGAGCTACAATTCAAGGTGAGATTGGGATGGGAACACAGCCAAACCACATCAATGGTCAAAAGAAAGAAAAAGGTTTTCAACAATTTCTGCTACTGAATTCCCTGAAGATCTTAATTAAGAGAATTATTTATTTCCTTTGGTACTATGGTAATATAGGTATAGTAATAGCTAATGAGTTATCAATCAGAAACTAATTTAAAATGTCATTGATGTAAGAGAATTAAGGTAATAGCTTGTAGCTAGTGGTAACTAAGAGTTTTTATTTTAAATAATTTTTGACTACATTAGTACTAATTACTGGGTTAATAATTAATATGTTTAGGCAAATGGCTAATGAAATGGTATACTAGATTTAGAATGAAAAGACACTTTGGCAATATCACAGATTAAGATAATTTTTGCCAAAAAGGAAAACAAATAGTGATACCTCTGTTATTTATCTCAGAAGTTCTTTGTAAAGAAAAAATGAGATATGTCAAAGTTTTGGTTATCATTAACTCACCATATAAATCGAAGGAAGTGTTACCCTTATTTAGACAGGGATGGTTATAATTTTATGTCATATTAATGCCTTTATTTCCATTGAATATGATTTCCAGGTGCTTAGAAAAAATTTCAAGAGCTGAACTAAGAAGTCCTTGCAGTATGTGTGTGAAAGTTGAATAATATTGACAACACCGTATTTAGATTCATTATTTATAGAACTTTCAATTTATTTATGGTAACAAGGGCTCTCATACATCTATTCCTGTATCTATTTTGTCCTAGTTTTCCCTTCCTTAATATTATGGTTAGGGTAGACAAAAGCTTATAACAAGCATAATCATAAACATTTTGCCAAATCATTTATTCAGAATAAGTTTTTCTATAACAAAAGGAGTTTTTAATACATCTCCTTTGGTCATATGTCCAAAGGTCATATCACACTGTAGGAGGGAACCAATAAGATTCTATGAGGTATAGGAAAAAATTAGATCCAACATGTATATTTATTTTATTATATATCTTTGAATTTATTTTATAAATATATTTTCTAATGTTTATATTAATAGATTGTAGTTTGCATGTAACATATAAATAATTAAATACATATTAGCTTGCATGCATTATTTTTTGTTGATGGGATATAATCAACAATCATAATCTTGGTTTCCAGCATGAGTATGGAATTTAAAAATTGTCAGTTTCCAACAACAAGAGTGATATCTCCCATGCCTAAATGATTAGGCGCAACAGCTAAACACTAAAAGTTCTAATGATAGTTAGACACAGTTCACTTGATGCTAAGAATCTTACATTCTTCTGGAGAAAACAGCCATATAAATTGGCAGTAAGAATATAAGTTAACAGGCCTGGCGTGGTGGCTCACGCCTGTAATCCCAGCACTTTGGGAGGCCAAGGCGGGCAAATCACGAGGTCAGGAGATCGAGACCATCCTGGCTAACACGGTGAAACCCCGTCTCTACTAAAAAATAATAATAAAAAAATAGCCGGGCTTGGTACGGTGGTTACCTGTAGTCCCAGCTACTTGGGAGGCTGAGGCAGGAGAATGGCGTGAACCCGGGAGGCGGAGCTTGCAGTGAGCCGAGATAGCGCCACTGCACTCCAGCCTGGGCAACAGAGCGAGACTCCGTCTCAAAAAAAAAAAAAAAAAAAAATGTAAGTTAACAGTGGAAGGACAGGAACAAACAGAGGAAGCTGTGTACTGCAACTGTATAATTTATTATACAAATGGGAATATTTGTGAGTAAAAGTGGTCACTCTTTATAATTCAGCTAAGAAAACAGATGTAAGCTGGTGCTACAACTGGAAACAAAATATTTATGTTCACCCTAATGATATGGGAGCACATGCAAGCACCTCAGAATGAAAACAAGAGGAGAGTCAGGAAAAGTTCCAGGGAGGAAGTGACATCTATACTGCATTAAAAAGATACATTCATGTACAATCAATCAGGAAAATGTGAGTAGGAGAAGAGGAGGAGTGTGGCAGGATCCTGCCTCCAAACTTTCCATTGATAAACAGGTGCTATGACCTAAGAGAGCATCACCAGATCAGACAGCTACAATTCATGCAATGGAACTGCTATACCGTGGCCTTGAGTTTGACAGATGGCAGGTGGCATGGGGAAAGATGAATCTGGAAAGGCAAACACAGAGAAAACTGCTTTCCCAAATAGGGGATACAAAAAACTTCTGGCAGTGATCAAGCTATCTCGCCAAGGTCATACAGATCACAGGTAGTCAACTTGAAAATACAAGTTTATGTTTCTGAATGCCCAGGCTAAGAATCTATTTACTATACTGTGAGAATCTTATTTCCCAATTCAATGACCCAAATAGCTGTGAAGAATAAAATATTGCATTTTATGTTAAAATTCTAAGGATTATTGTATAAAGTAGTCACTTGAGATTTATCTCATAAAAAGCATATGTTAATAGTTGTTCAAAGTACCTAGCCTGTGTATTAGAAAATGTCTTTTAGCTTTGAAGAAATATTCAGCTAATCATACTGTTAAAATACTGTCATATCATTATCCATGTATCTATAGGCTTTATGTAGTTTAAAAAAATGAATACCTTAGATATTGATAAACTGTCTCCAGAGTTCTGCCAAGATTCCTAGAATTCCAAGGCTTGAAGTGGTCATTGATTACATCAATACCTTGGGGCATTCAGTTAAAACACTGCGGTAATTAACCAAAGCAAGCTGTCGATGAAATCAGCTCTGATTAACTGGAGGGATGGTAGAAAGATAAAGCTTGGATTTAGACAAAAAATGTTATATAAAGTAGACGAATTTGATAAAAATCACCTCGTTACCTTTTCTTCATAAAGTTTCGCCAACCTTTTGGCAACACTATCCCATCCACCTTATCTATGCCCAGTGCCATCCAACTATCTGAACATCTCTCATGTGAACTGGAAGAACTCATACTGTAAGGATAGCTTATGTGTTTAAGTGATTTTTGTATTTCTGCACCCCTGGAGGTCGTATTTATAATGTTTAACACATCTGATATACTTTATAATATTAGTGTTGTAGAACAGGTGTCAAGGAGCTCTAGGCAAGTTTTTTTTATTTTTATCAGAGGTTTTCTGGAAGTAATACTGAAACACATTATTAAATTTTTGGTCCTACAATGGACTTTTTGACCTTTCAGATTCCAGGGTTCACCTTTACAATAATGGTCCATGATTGGTTTATTTTGAATTCAATAATTATTGACTGGGTTTCTTCACTTGGTAACAAAGCAGATGTATTTTAACACCTAGATGTCACACAATGTTTTCAGTTTGCATTTCTTCCTCAATGATAAATAAAGAAACTGACTCTCTATGGGGGAGTTTCATGCAACGGATATGTCCCTATGAGGGCTATCTTTCTGGATAACTATCCATCCAAGAAAGTTTACCCAGTAGGGAATCTGGAAGGAAAAATCCTATGAGCTTTAAGTCATAGCTTTTAGCCATGTAATAACATGATATTTAATACAAATGTTTTCCTATTACAAACACATTTAATAAGAGAAATAACAGAAACAAAACCTGCACCAGGAACCTTAGCTAGAAGCTTTCCCCATGGTACATCTCAAACCCCAATAAACAGTTGACTCTCCAGACTCTCAGAAGCCCACCATATGAGATCAACTGGCACGTATTGGTTTTGGGAAATTGTTAATGATATGTACACTTTTGAATGACAGGGATTAAATTCTGCGTGGGCATCTGGCAGTCCAGATAACTTCACTGCATTCTTTAACAGGCAATTAAGTGTTATTTGACTAAATATTTGTATCTCCACATTTCTGGGAAAAAAAAGTCGTAGCTATTCTGATGTCTTCTATAGATTCGGAGAATTGAGAACTTGCCTAATGTCACATGGTCAGTATATAGTAGGGAAGAAACAAATTGTAAAACCCTAATCGCTTCTCTCTGTTAACATATCCTCCTGCTCTTTATTAGTAAAGAGCATTTTTTTGTGTACTGAAATTTCTATTCCTGTTCATTTAGTTCAGGATGCCTAGATTCTATTGGAAGCTAGGCCATCAACAAGTTTTATGACTTTTGATATGTCTGTGGATGTCAGTTGCATCATCTATAAAATATGGTGATTGAACTATGCGTCTCATTTACATCTAATAATTATTTGAATCTACAGTACTTCCTATTCCTTTCCTTCATTATGCTGGTTTCAAAATACCCCTATTAGCCTCTCAATTTTACTAGCAATCTACAGAAACACAGAGAAACCAGGAGCATCTTAAATAGCACTACAATGGGCTATCAGTATAATCCATATCAGAAGAATGATACAAATTCTTCCTCAGATATTTTTCAAGGAAAAGAGAGAGAAAGGATATATAACAAATATATACATGCATACATATATACACACACATACATATACATCTATCTATATATAGATAGGTATCTACATAGAGAGAGACAGATGTATATATGTATATATATATATATGTATATATATACAGAGAGAGAGGGAGGGAGAGAGAGAACATGTTAGAATAGGGAAAATATAGACTAAAATAAAAACAACAATACAAACTTGTGAAACAATCAGAAATATTTGAACTTGTTACTTGATAACGTTAAAGAATTAATGCTAATTTACAAGTTTGAAATGATTTTGTGCTTGCTTTTAAAAATAACTTTTTATCTTAGAGATCCTCACTAAAATACTTGTGGGTGAAATAATATGATGTAGGGTTTTGTTATAATTTTAGATTCTGGGGGTGCATGTGCCTGATTATTACATGAGTATTATATGCTTAATGGTGGGGTTAAGCTTCTAGTGCACATGTCACCCACCCAAATATTGGACACTGTAGCCAACAAGCAATGTTTCAACCCTCCCTTCCCTCCCAACCTCCCCCCTTTGGAGTCCCCAGAGTAGATTTTCTCCATCTCCATGTCCATGTGTACCCTTTGTTTAACTCCCACTTATAAGTGAGAATATACAGTACTTGATTTCTTCTTCTGTGTTAGTTCAATTAGGATAATGGCCTCCTGCCGTATCCATATGGCTGCAAATGATGTGATTTTGTTCTTTTATTGTGGCTGCATAGTATTCATGGTGTATATATGTACCACATTTTTTATAACCAATAAGTTGTTGGTGAACCCTGTTGGTTCCATGACTTGCTAGTGTAAACAGTGCTGCCATAAACATATGAGTGTGGTTGTCCTTTTGATATAATGATTCCATTTCCTTTGGGATGTGGTATATTTAGCTTAATATAATTTGGTAGTTGAATTGCCAGGGTAATAAATGAAATAATGAGTTACAAAACTTATGAAAGTTATTTCAGGCCATGAGTTAAGGGTACATGTTCAAAATTTTTAGTAAAAATGAAAAAATATATTTACCTCACTAAAAGTAAATATTGCTTGATAATGATGATCTATGGTAATTTCAATCTAGTTTAATTAATGATGTATCTGATTAACATACGCTAAAACTGAAACTGCTTATGACAATGTTCTTTGGTACAAATAAAGGATTTATATAAGTAGTCACAATTTTCAGTGCTTTAGATTTCATTGTTCACATATCAAATACACCTTTTTACATGCCTTATTTTTTTCCTTTGTTGGTCTGTTTATTCTTAACTCCTCCTCTTAAAATAGCCAAAGAAGCTATTAATGCCTTTAGACTATAACTGAGAACTTTTACTACCAACACTTCAAGACATAAGTTGAAACCACAGGTTTGTACCTAAGTAAAACAAGAAAATCTAACATTTTTTAAAACTTAAACTCATTTAATTAAGAATTCATGGGATCCTTAGTGTGCCTAGATATTTGCTAATACAGAAATGCAAACTTGGTTTCCTTTATATTACTTAATTTTTGACACAGTTTCCAGAAATGTTTTCAGGTGAAAGTGAAAACTTTCTATGTGCAAATAATCAATATTAAAGTTTCACTTCAATGCAAAAGATTTAAATATTTTTTCCTAGCTTAATTCAATAATAGCTTATCTGCCCACTTCACCTTGATATGATCTCTTTGATGCAATAAATTAAAATTAATGTGAATCAATATATTACAGTAGTAAACAAAATTAGCAACTACTCATTTTGGTGATTACACATATTCTCTGGCAGTAATGTATGTTCAAATTTGGAATATTTTTTTAATTTTTAAAAGGTCATATGCTAGATACAAAATCCTCAAATTAATCACATCCTTTGCAGCAACATGGAAACAGCTAGAAACCATTATCCTAAGCAAAGTAAAGCAGAAGCAGAAAACCAAATACCACATGTTCTCACTTATAACTGGGAGCTAAAATATTCTACACAAAGAGTAGAATAATAGACACTGGGGACTACTAGAGAGGAGAGGGAGGGGACAAGGGTTGAAAAATTACCTATTGGCTACTATGCTCACTATCTGCATGACAAGATCAATTGTACTCCTAATCTCCGCTCACACATTACACACATGAAACAAACCTGCAATGTACCTCTTGAATCTAAAATAAAAGCTGAAATTTTTTTAAAACCTTCAAAATTATAAAAGGGAATTAAATATGGCATTTCAGAAACATTTTGCCCTGTAATTATCTAATTCTTATAGAAGTATTGTTGCTTGGATGCATGGTAAGACAATGATATCCATGTTAGAAAATATACTCTTAACCCATTGTTATTAATTTTTAAAAGGCAAGCAAGACTAATGTTACAACCCCCATCTCAGTGGAGGTTAAGCCTTTAACATGGGAATTGGGGAAGTGGCACAATTCAGTCCAGACCACTTGCTTATCCATTTTAATGTTACGTATTGTTTGAATTCATAACTTACCAAAAAAGCATATATAAGTACTATAATCTTTCAACTCATATTAATAGGACTAAATCTGAACTATATTGAAATTAGAAGGATCGTTTTTGCCTATTGTTTTCTAACATCTACAGCCATTAAAAATAGTGAAGAAAGTCTTATTTTCACTTCCCTTCTGAAATATCACAACCTCTTTATAGAGCAAAATTCTTTTCTTTTCAGTTTTTCTCTCAATTTGAAGTATTTCTGGGGACGTAGCTGCTAGATTATATTACTCTATGACTTGCAAAGTTAAGGAAGTATTCTCTTTGTCTTTTCAGTAAATTGTGCAGCCAAAATATTACCACTCACTAAGTAAATGTTAGTCATTTCATAAGAAAAATAAATTGCTTTTAAAAATCCATGTATTTAAAAACAAATATTTAAGCATTTATATAATTGTTCACATTCAAATCTCCTGCAAATTAATAAAATGCATGTTTCACTATTTCAGCATTTTTGTTTTATATCATATATTTAAAGATGTGCTCGCTATGCTTATAAATTTTTAAATCTCGCGAGAATTTTCTGATTTAATTTTTTTCTATCATAGCCAGGATAACAAAAGATGTATGTTAACCATCACTTATTCCTCTCCACCTCCACACAGTCATACAGACACACACATAAATATAATTGAACAGGTACATGCACATATTCATGTTCTATTTCCATCACTTCAAAAATCATTGGAAAATATTTTTAATAATTAGAGGTTTAATGGAGATTTACTTTTAATTCACAGTCTTTGTGAAATTAATGTATTTTTCCATATTAGTTGCACTATGAATACATAATGTACCACATTTTATATATTTATTTTTGTATATAGAACATGAGCTCTCTAAAGGTGTAATCTTATCTTTGTCGATTTGATTTCTTTCTGAAAATTGACAATGAACCTTACACATGTTAAGGGATTAGTAAGTGATTGTTAAATATGTAAAGGATTTATAGAATTTAATTTTCAAAAATATAAACACAGATAAGCAGTGTTACTTGATAAAGTATATACTGGAAATCAAAAGACATAAATAAAGACTGAGAACATAGTTTTGAAATAAAACTATGGGGTTTTGAAAATAAACCTAAGAGCTTTATGTTAAAATCAGGTGAAACAAAATTTCCACGATACATACTCTTCCAAGTTAGGTAAAGTACATACAGAACTTTAGGAATATTAGGTTAGAATGAATAATATTTATTATTCTTTAAGCAACTAATTTTTAGCATATCTTGAATTTGACCAGTGGATATACCCGAGTGTATGTAATATAATAATTTACTCAAATATGTTTGTTTAACTGACATATAAAATTGTATGTAGTTATCATGTATAACATTATATTTTGAAGTATATATACATTGTGAAATTCTTAAATCTAGGCTATTAACAAATATATTACCTCACAGTTATATTTTTGTGATGAGAACATTTAACATCCCCTCTCTTCGCAACTTTCAAGAATACAATATATTGTCATTGAATATCGTTACCACGCTGAATAGCAGATCTTTTGAACTTATTTATTCCTCCTCTCTAACTGTAAATATGCATTATTTGACGAACAATGTATTATTTAATGCAACACTCCCCCGAACTGCCCCAGTGTCTGGCAACCACCATTCTACTCTTCTATAAGATCAGCTTCTTCAGATTCCACATATGAATGATACCAACTATTATTTGTCTCTCTGTGCCTGGCTTATTTCACTTGACATAATGTCTTCCAGATTCACCCATGGTGTTGCAAATGGCAGGATTTCTTTCTTTTACAGTTAAATAATATTTCATTGTATATACCACATTTTATTTATCCATTTGCCTGTTGGTGGACACTAAGATTGCTTCCATATTTTAATCACTGTGAATAATGTTGTAATAAACATGAGAGTGCAAATATCTTTTTGAAATACTGATTTCATTTCCTTTGGCTATAAACTCAGCATTGGGAATGCTGGATCATATAGGAGATCTATTTTTAATTTTTTGACAAACCTCCACACTTTTTTCATAATGGTTTTACCAATTTATATTCCCACAAAAGAAGGATTCCCTTTTTTCCATATTTTTACCAATACTTGTTATCTTTTTTCTTTTTGGTAATAGCCATTTCAACTGGTGTGAGGTAATATCTTATTGTTGTTTTGATGAGCATTTTCCTGATGTTTAGCAATGCTAAGCCTCTTTTTCATATAACTGCTAGTCATCTTCATGTCTTCTTTTGAAAAATGTCTATTCAGATCTTTTTTCCATTTTTTAAAATTGGGGTTTTTTCTTGCTATTGAGTTGTATGGATTCCTTATATATTTTAGATTGATTGACCTCTTATCAGATGGTGTGCAAATATTTTCTCCCACTCTATAGATTGTCTATTCACTCCAGTGATTGTTTCCTTTGCTGTGCAAAGAAAATGTACCCAGTGTATTATCCTTTGCTAATTTGACTGCAATACTTTAGATTAACAATAATAATTGACTTGCTTACTGATTATGCTTTCCCTTGAAGCGTAAATGTCTTTATATAGTCTGCATGTGTTGGCAGACCTCCAACTTTTATTTTGTATAACACAATCAGAATCGTATTTCTAAAGCAAACAAATACATTTCAAAGTATTATATTTTAGGAAAACATTCAACAGACTACCCTATAACTTCCTAAAAATTCAGAAACTCTGGAAGGCCAAGAGCTGAGCACTTTAGAGTCACCTATTGCTCACAGCAGACAAAGAATGGCCCCTTCCAGTAATTGCTCTAACAGCTGCCAAGTTAGTCTTTTAGCTGGCACAGTGGCTTAAATTCTCAGCTACAGCCTGCCTCATCAACCAATCAGGAAGTATAATGGCTATATATTTTTAAAGCGTTTCTCCTGGCAGGAACCCTCTTGATGATTCAAAGAAGTCTTGGGCTGCAACAGCTACAACTACTGTGGCCCCCAGACTCTTCCTCATCAATGTGACCAAGCTTTGAGGACTGTCCTATTCTGTATTCTGCAAGAATAAGGCTGGAAAAATAGAGAATAATATTTGTAAAAGCAAAATAAAAACAAACACACAAATCCTTTCACTTGGGTTTTAGAAAATAGCAAGGAATAGATAAAATAAACTTAGGGATTGTGTCTAAACATGCTATCTGAATATTATCCCAACATGTAACCTTCATATACATAATAAAGCAAATAAATATTATATCAATATCTCAATTCCAAAAATGCAGTAAAATCTGAATCATTTCTTATAGCAAAAAGTATCAATGTTTAGACACACTAATTGTTATTTAAAATGATAAACAGATATATAAAAATCATAATCTTCATGTGAACTTAATTCAAAAAATAATTGAGCTGCTAGAAGACATAAAATTAGTACAACATAATTGTTACCATCAGGAAATTACAGATCAGTGAGAGCACATGAAGAGGTTATTTTCATACATGAGGTAAGTGTCTTTGAATTTGGCAGCAAAAAAAGAAAAAAAAAATTCAGTATTCATGGTGACATTCATGGTAAGTGCATTTCATTATGCTCTGATATTTTATAATATTACATTATAAAATATAATAAAATTATATTTTATAATTTTACATTCCACCTATGGTATATAAATATATATACATATATGTATGGCACATACATATATGTATTTTATATTCCACCTATAGTATATACATATATATACATATAGGTATGGCATATACATATATGTATGGTATATAAATATATATACACACCATAGGTGGAATATAAAATACATATATGTATGTTATATACATATGTATACTATATATGAAATATAAATATATATATTTCTTATCTGAATTCACTCTCTGTTTATATTCATATGTGTTTGTGTGTGTATAAAAACTATGCCATCCATCTGCACTACTGGCTATGAGAATGAAGTTATACAGCTTTCTGACATGTGAAAAGTAGTATATGTAAGCCAAATGCACCAAAATTAATCTTTTTGAAATCAAACATAATACCCATTGCCAAAATATTTTCTTCAAAAGAAGTATTATTTTCTTATATTTGACTTTCGAAGCCATATTCATTGCTTCAAAATTGCACTTTAACAATAGCATATTTTCAGTACAGGTACTTATAAAATAAATTAAATAACATAATTCAAACTTAGTAAGTTTGTGTGCTTTAAAAACAAATTCAGGAACTACAGAAATCATTCAAATGACACAAGCAAAAATAAATGTGTATAAAGATTAGATAGATAGGTAGATGATAGATACATGATAGATTTAAAACAGCAGACAAGACAATAAATTTCTCTTATATACTGACAAGAACAATAAATAATGTAGCTGAGTAATAATTTGAATTAATGAATATGCATATATAATATTCTATACACAAGATAAATTAATTAACTTACATTAGAGCTTACTATCCTTAATAACTTAAATTGACTCTCCTAATTTTTCCATTAAAGTAAACTTCACTCTAACTGATGTGATATGGTATCTCATTGTGCTTTTGATTTGCATTTCCCTAATGACCAGTGATGACGAGCTTTTTTTTGATATGTTTGTTGGCCGCATAAATATCTTCTTTTGAGAACCATTTGACCCAGCAATTCCATTACGTTGTATATATCCAAAGGATTATAAATCATTCTACTATAAAGACACATGCACATATATACTTATGGCAGCATTATTCACAATAGCAAAGACTTGGAACCAACCCAAATGCCCATCAATGATAGACTGGATAAAGAAAATGTGGCACATATACACCATATAATATTATGCAGCCATGAAAAACGATGAATTCATGTCCTTTGCAAGGACATGGATGAAGCTGCAAACCATCATTCTCAGCAAACTAACACAGTAACAGAAAACCAAACACCAAATGTTCTCACGCATAAGTGACAGTTGAACAATGAGAACACATAGACACAGGGAGGGGAACATCACACACTGGGGCCTGTGGGGAGTGGGGGCCTAGGGGAGGGACAGCATTAGGAGAAACACCTAATGTAGATGATGGGTTGATGGGTGCAGCCTACCACCATGGCACATATATACCTATGTAACAAACCTGCACATTCTGCACATGTATCACAGAACTTAAAGTACAATACAAAAAAAAAAAGTACATTTTCAAATCTAAATATTGATTGTTGTGCTGCCAACATTTTAAACATAGCCAAATTATATCTTCATCATGAAAACAGTTGTAAGAATTGCTTATAATTTCTCTTTAGTGTATCAAAATGTGTCACACTCAAACTTGACTTAATTTCCCACACAATTTCAATAAACTTTGTAAAGGATTCATGACTTTGTAAACCCAAGATACAAAAGTGTAGTTTCTCCTCTATTCTGCCCTCCAGATCTTTTAGAACAATGTGAATGCATGGGTTTCATAAAATTCATCATTAGGAAGTGCTGTCTGGCAAGCACTCTCATTTTTTTTTTCCAGTAGCCAAAGGGAGCTCTAGAAATCTGCAAGCCAGCAACAGCTTAATCTTATGGTGGACTCTTGATGCTATAAATCCATAACTAAGCAGGGGCGGCTGAAAATGAATGCAGCTTTTCTTGAATAATGCTTGTTCTGGAAAAAGAAAGTGTCTGATATGTTGTTTTTCCAACTGCTTCTTTACCAAATAGATTCAAACTATATTGACACCTGTAACAACTAATAATATAAAGGCAAAACAATAATAGTAGCTAAAATTGATTTAGCACCTACAATGTGCTAGAAAGTGTATTATGTATTTTACATGAATTATCTCAACTAATCCTCTTACAAAAGTAGGTTTTAATATTTTAAACATATTTTAGATGAGGAAACAAAGATATTTATTTCAATAAATAACATTTTAAATCTACTAAGAGGCAGAAATAGGATTGAAATCATAAGGAATGTTTGCACATACCTATGTTTTTAATCACTGCACTATCTGTGCAAAAGTCCATATAGTAAAAAGCAATGAAACAATCAAAAGGACTCATACTACTATGTTTGAAACTATTGTATTTCCATAATGAATTATCGAATTAAAAAATGCAATAAAATATTTTTTTAGTTTCAGTCACTTTTCCTAAACAATGATTTGAAAGAAAAAACACTATATAATTTAGACATTTATTCACTTCCTTATATAAGCACCTTTCTAGAATGCCATTTAGAAGAAAGAGTCTGCATTTTAATTGTCTTCTGTTAAAATATTATCAACTTCACCAAAATAATCCAAAATGAGGGGGCCTTACATGCATTATTTGATATTGGATATGTACAGATGAGTCCACTAATCAAAGTAAGGACATCCTAAGCATAATTAACATGCATGAATTAATGTTTGTGTAAACAAACGTGTAAGGCACTTTAATCTCTGAGAAACTGTATCTCCATAAAGCTGATCAACATATCTGCTTGATTTTTTTCCCTCAGTGAACACACATGGCAAGACTAAAACTTAACAGCTTACCTATTGCTCACTTTGTATAAGAAAATTTTTCAATAATCCAAGCTGAATTTATTATGATAATCCATTCCGTATCAAAAGGTCTTATGCAAATGACATGGAATGCTGCCAAAACATAGCACGGGACCTGAGGTAGTGTTTTATTTTTATTATTGTGCTTTTCAGAATAAGTTATCAGGTTAACTTAGCTACACACTTTCCTTCAGTGTGAGGTACACTGACCAAGGAAGCAGAAAATTGGAAGATCTATCCAATTCGCCAGTAACTATTTACAGGAGTGGCAGTTTAGTTAAAGAATTTACACTGTCTGTTTCCTTTAAACTAGAGTGTAGTATTCCATGATTTCTATCGGCCCTGCCACTTCTAAAATTCGAAGTAACTGGGTTTCCATTTTTCTTCATCATTTCTCATACCAACAAGGCCAAAACATAGTAAAAAATTGACATTTGAAAAAGTTTATAATGATTCTTACTCTGGGAAGTGATTTAAAAATCCTTTAAGTTAATCTTCACTAAGTGTTGGGAATCAGATTTTTATATTCAGGGACTATTGATGTGCTAATTGATACAATTGAAAACCAATACGTTTTCAAATGGGCTCCTTTATTCAACCATAAAGTTGAATAGATATCTAACATGAGCTAATTTACTTACCTCCATTTGGACCTCACCTAAACTATTACAGAAACAGAGATATCAAATCTCATTGAGAAATTTTCAGAACTATTTTTAAAAGAATATTAAGGTTTTTTTTTTTTCAAAAAGGAATGCAAAGTGTGGATTACTTCCTATCTCTACGGACATATAGAGCACATGGTTAAATATTTTCAACATAGTAATCATTGGTCTTGAAAACACCTAATAATAAATTGAAATAGATTATCTCAAATTGAAAACTTTATTTGCAAACGTTGCTTGCTTTTTGTATTAGTCTGCTCAGCTATATTACACAATTGAGAAGAAAATTCAGTCTATTCATTTTATCAAGTATAAATGGAGACAGAAAATACCTGTTCACGTGTGCATTCCTCTGGTCATGTATGCCCTTACACACTCACTCCCACCCAGTACTGCTTTCTGGGTTTGGCTTATGCTGTAGTTCCTGAAATCCTAAATGTTATGTACCAGCTGCCAGCAGGTGTCTGCAGGTGTTTGCCTACAAGAAGTTCATTGACAGTTTATTGCAGCAAGAATACCTTCTCTGGCAGTGGAAATTAGCTGCAAAAACACTGCAGACCAAGTAATGTTTTAAGGACAATGATGCTTCATGTGCTGTGAATGCATAATTATTTATTATCAGTCAGGCCTAGATTAATCACTCTTGTGTGATATTTTTCCCATGTAAAAAAATAGTTATCAAATTCTAGTTTCCACGGTCATTGTCAGTGTACTGGAAGGACTGCAGCTGTACTAGGAGTCTCATGGACATTTAACTTCTGACAGCTGTGAATGCTTCTTTGTGAATGCAGACATTGCTCTTTGACTCAGAGTTTCTGGAAGAGCTCCAAGATGCATTCTCCAGTGCCCCTGCAGCTCTCTGAGTGCATATTAGGAGAAGGTGGTCAGAAACGTCATGAATTGCTAACGTGGAGAGATACTTGTATTTTCTTTTACTACACATGTATTTATTTCAACATGGATATAAATAGATGAGGTGATAGTCAGTGATGAACCTAATATTTACAAACTTTCAGTATTTGGAGATTCATGATTATGTCAAATCTTTTCATATATGATTATACTTTTATTGAGAAAATACTGATATGCACCAACACTCAATTTTTTGAGTTTTATAGAGATTCATGCCTAATATTCATAACAAAATTGGACTACATGACATCAATGCTCAAGAAGATTGTCAGATGTTTAAAAATAAAGAGTAAAATTTAGCTATTTATAGGGTTTATTAGTCATTTGTGATTAATATACCATAAGTTTTTTTTTGATTATTGAGAAACTTAATTATGGGATTATCTTAACACATGTATGCCTTTGAAAAAAAAAGAAAATATGTCACAAAAGTTTCAATTTAAAATTATTTACATAACATATTTATGTTAGAAAGGACTATGAGGTTATGTCCCTAAACTTAATCATGAAAGGAATTCCCCTTCAAATAAACCATACATATTTGCATTTTTCTATTGATATTTTAGGAGATGTATAATGCTTGTTTTAGCATTTGGGTTATTAAATATAAAATTGTTAATAGTCAAAAACTGAAAGACAAGAAACATATGTCATAGTAGAGACATTTTCCACTTAAGGAAAAAGCATACTCTATGTATACAAGCAAGTGTTGTTTTATTAACCCTATATATTTGAATTACTCTAACAATAATTTCTGGTAGTTAATAATATCCTTGATATTCCACAGCCTATTTATAAATATATTTCATGATCAGTTTAAGATCTAATTTATTATTGTAATAATTAAAAGAGCAATAGTATATATTAATATTTTGAAATATATTTTCACTGTTTCATTTCTCAAAATATATCTGACATGATAGAAGTGTTGAATCACTTAGAAAGTATCCCTATGGAGACTAATTACTGAAAATCAATGTATCTTTTTTTTGTTTAAACTGAGAACAAAGTTCAAAGGTATTAATTTGAACTAACATAGGTAAGGCAAATAGACCCTGAGAGTTTGTGTAATTCATAGCATAGTCTGCTATCTACTGTTTGTATGAAATATGGAATATCACCAACTACCTTGAAACTCAGCATTTCATCTGTAAGTAATAATAACACCTCATGAAGTCATTATAATAATTAAATGAAAATATGAGACAATCTACATAAAATGTCTGGTAATAGTAAATGATTCTGTGTGTGTATGTATGTGTACATTTTATTTACCTTTGACTTTGAATTATAAACAAAATGTGCATTGCCTGTGAATGCTTGTGTTAACCATAGCTGAAGAAAGTCACATTATGTTGGGCGCGGTTGCTCACGCCTATAATCCCAGCACTTTGGGAGGCCCAGGCGGGAGGATCACGAGGTCAGGAGTTCGAGACTAGCATGGCCAACATGGTGAAACCCCGTATATACTAAAAATACAAAAATTACCCGGGCGTGGTGTCACATGCCTGTAATCCCAGCTACTCGAGAGGCTGAGACAGGAGAATTGCTTGAACCCAGGAGGAGGAGGTTGCAGTGAGCCAAGATCACACCACTGCACTCCAGCCTGGGGGACAGAGCAAGTCTTCATCTCAGAAATGATAAAAAATCATCACATTACATATCAAAAAATCCAGTCAAATGCATTCCTATTATGAGGGACAAATGAATTTAAGCCTGCCTTTCTCTATGTAATACATTACTACTAAATGCTACCATATCTATGCTATAGTGAAGTATTTTTAAATATGAAAATTCTTAGATATCATGAATAAGTGGTAGTGTAATTGGTTAAAGTCTGTTTGTATAGCAGTCACTACTCATATAATAAAGCAGTTGAAGACCTAGATTGATTTTAGAATGAATCATGCATCTCATACTGGTGATTAAAATCAAAATTGGTTATTTGTTCATTACGAATTATAATAATCAATTAAAATTGCAGCATACATCATAGCATGCTATATGAGAATAACTATAAATTTAGTGTCACTATAAAAATCTTCATTAGATTGATGGAATATTTATAATCACAGAATAAAAATGCATCATCTAATATTAAACAAAAACTGAGCTGGCACAGGTGTGTTTTTCAGAGGTAACTTTTCATGAATTTACCAACCAATTACCAATATTTGTTTAAATAAAGATAACTAGTAGAATAAAATGGGCTGGGCACGGTGGCTCATGTCTGTAATCCCAACATTTTGGGAGGCCGAGGCAGGTGGATTACAAGGTCAGGAGATCGAGACCATCCTGGCTAACACAGTGAAACCCCATCTCTACTAAAAATAAAATAAAAAAAAATTAGCCAGGCATGGTGGCACGTGCTTGCTGTCTCAGCCATTCAGGAGGCTGAGGCAGGAGAATTGCTCGAACCCGGGAGAAGAACGTTACGTTACAGTGAGCCAAGATCAGGACACTGCACTGCAGCCTGAGCAACAGAGCAAGACTCCATCTCGGAAAAAAAAAAAAAAAAAAGAATTACTTAAAATCTGTAAGTTAAGATTAATAATAATTATTTTTTAAAAAACTCTTTTTGAAAGACAGGATCTCATTCTCTCATTCTCTCTCCCATGCCAGATCATACCTCAGTGCAACCTAAAACTCTTGGACTCAAGGCATCCTCCTACTTCAGCCTCCTGAAAAGCTAAAACTACAGGTGCACACCACCACACTCAACTACTTTTATTTTTATTTTTCTACAGATGGGGTCTTGCTATGTTGCCCAAACTGGTCTTGAACTCCTGGCCTCAAGAAATCCTTCCACCTTGGCCTCCCAAAGTGCTGGGTTTAGAGGAGTGAGCCACCATGCCTGGACCAGATTAATAATTATATTATATTTTCCAAGGAGTTTCCATTTTAATATTTATTATTTGATTAACCAGTGTGATAGTTATATAGTCAATTGAAGACATAGCACATTAACTTTGTCATCTACCCAGAGGAAATGTTTTCATTAATGCAGAGGTGCAAATGATATGAAGCCAGAACCAAGAATGAATTCAACGTCTTCGAGAAACACTTTACTGATGGCGAGATCTGGTGGTTTCCTAATTATTTTGGACTTAAGCCTTTCAGCAATGTGTAATTCCTTTGAAGTTATATTGGTTTTGTCTATGGAAGAAGCATATTGTTGGAAATAAAGGTCACTAATGTAACTAATATTTTAGATAGATTGATGAAAAACAAACTCTAACCTTAAAAAATTATAACTTCTGAATGGGACTTATTATCAAGACATTATGTCTTTGTATCAGATTTATAAATGTCATTTTATTAAAACTGAGGTTTATTGAGCTTTTCATGGAAATTAGGGACCATATTAGCATTCTATAAATTAGTTAATTATAATTTGCTGTTCAAACTCTGCCCACTCCAATTGTACAAAAAGCCACTAAACTTTAAAATCATGTTTTCGTATTAAAATAGATGGAACACAAACATTCAAGTGCAGTTTTTTTAAAGTCTTTTTTTGCACACAAAACTTATCCTAGATAATTCCTGAAGCAAAATACTGATTTAGTATTTTCTTTCCCAGTTCTACTAACATCCCACTGTGTGATCTAGAGAAAAGTACTTTAGAGAGTACTTTGCCATGCATAAAAAGGCACTTATCTTCTAATAAAATTCTATTGATTTAAAATAATCTACCTTTCTTTCTTTATAGAGGTATAATAAGGGTGTAATGAAGAATTTTGAAGTGCTTGTAAAGTTCCTTGAAATCTTTAAAAGAATAGTAGAGGCCTTCAATTGAATGCAATTCGAAAGAATTGAATAGAGACCCTAAACAGAATGCAAATCAGGCCTCTTGCCAAATGTGAATCATAATTGTCCTTATTTATTGAGGGTGTCATAATCACCATCATTACTTATGAGTGCAGCTGTTCATATTGATTGAATTTCCAAGGTATCCCAGAAATTGAACAAGAAACACAGTTTCAATCCTCTGGGAATTTATATTCTAGACCTGCACTGTCCAATGGTAGCCACTAGCCACAGGTGGCTATTTAAATTTAAATCAATCAAATTTAAATAACAAATAAAATTTTAGTTCCTTTGCCATATCATCCACATTTCATTTTTTTAAGCTACCTCCTACAGAAAGGTATCATTCATATTTCAATTTCTCAGTAGCCTTATGTGGCCAATGGCTATCATATTGGATCGCACAGATACAGTTAATTTCCATTATCACAGAAAATTCTATTGAACAGCCTCTTGTAGATGCTTGGTGCACATATGCCACTATAAATATTATTCAAGAATACAATTTATACAATATAATTTTATTGCATAAATTGTAGTTCATTAATTTTGATAGAGACTTTTAATAGAGAAAATAGATAATCTACAAAAAGTCAAACATCTCTGTAAGCATTCTGATATGAATCAACTATTTTCATCTCAAATACAAGAGACAGGATCTAGCACATTTTAGGTGCTAAATAAATATTTGTTCAATTAATAAATTCATAAATGAACAAGTATTTTGTGTATACAAAGAGATTTCTGGAGCTCATTTTTCTTGCTATTGAAAGGATACCATATACAGTTTTCAAAATAAGGAATGATAATATAGTCTGGAAGAAAAAACACATTAAGCAAGAAATAGAGCATTGTGCAGGTCAAGTGCTTGATAATGCAAGGGAATGTTTAGATGAGCAGTCTTCATTGTTAGAAAGAATAAGTAAGATTTTTTCAGATGGAGAAAGGACTTACAGAGAATTCTCTAGAACAGTAGGTAAAAGAAAAATGAAAAGTCTGATAGATAAAAGGGCAGTGGAAACCAAAGCGTTGGGAGTTGGGAAAAAGGCTGATTCATTTTGAGGGGATAAAGAGATTATGAGTATTCTGATGAATGAAGGATTCCAGTTGGCAAAGTTGAATGTAGTATAATCAATTTAGATATTTTTCATTAGCAATGGTTCTTCTGAAATTGTTGTAATTTAACTGTTTTAGGATAATTAATTGTTTTTCTCTGAAAAAAAAAACAACAGAAATAACCCAGAAAACACAGGCATAACATAATGCCTGTTTAGACTTATTTTCTAAAAATGACTAGAGATGTGTGAGAACCAAGGACCAATGGGTCCCAAGAGACAAATCATACACTAATAGAGAGTTACATAGAAAAGCTAATCTGATTACATTGTGAAACTGCTTCATTTCCAGTGGAATGTGTGCATTTCAATGCTAGTATAAGCCAGATGGCAGTAGCCTTTGTTCTAACAGGGTCTGACGATAGTTTGTATATTTAAAATGTCACAACTACACACTCACTTTTCTTCAGTAAACAGTAAAGAACAGCTGCTGACAACTTCAAGTGCAATTACTTATCTTCTCTACAGAGCCATTTTGATCTTCCTCTTCACTCACCAGAGTATCAAATAAAACTGATGTTCCCAGTACACAGCATGGTTCTGAATAGTGTGAAGATAACAAAGCTAGCTTCTATTAATTACCATTCTATTAGCTGATACTGGTAGCTAGAATTGAATGTCATATATGAGTAATGCTGAGAAATTATTGTAACTAATTAATTGACACTCATAGTTAGAAATGTATTCAGTGTCTCCAGTGATAATAATGTGCCATGAAAAATAAAACCATTTGAGAACTATGGGATAGAGATTAATTTAAGGAAATCATCTTGAACTCTTCCTAAGCTCTTAAATCACCCCTCCAAATATTCTTATTTTTCAAGTGCACATTTTTATAAATTTTTATTGGGGATGTGTATGCAAAATTGAACAAACTGTAGTAGAAACTAAAACAGTAAGAAACAAAAATAGTAAAAAAAAAAAAAAAAAAAAGAGCATACGATGAAAAATAAATTCCCATTCTATTTAAGACGCCAGTCTTCTTCCAAAAGGTAACCACTATTATTAGATTTGTGTGTATTAATTTCTTTCCAGAAAAAAAGTCTGCCTCTCACAAATTATAGGTAATGCTATATATACTCCTAATAATGGCAAAACAGTATTCCTATACAAACTGTTGTTTAAAGTAGAAGAGTATTCTAAGGTATAGAAGGATGTGTATGACTTTTCAGTGAGTCAGACATTTAACTTGTTCTTACTCATTTTCAAATGCAAGCATCTGTTACATATCTTCTGACATAGTGTTTTATATATCTTACTTTGGCACACCTGAAGGCTACTTTCTGAAAAAGTAGTGTTCCAAAGATATATTTTTGTAGATATTTCCAATTGGTTATCCAAAAAGGATATTTTCATATGTAATTATATCAAAAAATATCCGAGTGTATGTGCAAGGAACTGCATGAGGCAAGGAAGAAAATTGGCTATTTTTTGTATATTCTTTTGTAATGCCTCTGAGAGTCTATTTCTAAGGCTGTGAATAATTAAGTCTGTAAGTGAATAAATAATTTCAGCAAAATTAGATTTGCTGGCCATTTTTAATTTGATAAATATAACTGCATGATGTTTGTTTTTAATTTTAAATGTATTAGACAAAATGTCAAAGACAAATGCTGTACAGTTATTTAATTTAGCAATTTCATAGAGACACAATCATAAATGGTGACTCATTATTTTCCTCCAGGAGAAACTTTCATTTTCTCCTTTTAGATATGTGATATACATATAACATATATTATATATAATTATATATATGAATGTGATATATATATAATTTCAATTTCAAAAACTTTAAAGACATATGCCCTTTAACTTAGACTTGAAAAATGTGTCATTTATTAAATTGAGTTGAACAGACTTCTTAGCCATTACTATGGAGGAATAGAAACTTAGCATTAGAATTCCATAATCTTAACTCACCAGTTAGGCTAACAACAACAACAACAACAACAAATTGCAAGCTCTACTGGCTTTAGATGTTGATCAATACTTATGAAGTCATGAAATGATTAATAAAGAATTTCCTTGTTTATAATCCTCATTAGGTTGTTTCTTAAAGCACCATAATTCTTGACTAAGCATTTTAAAATTCTAATGATAACACACAGTGATACGCAAATGTGATAAGAATTATCTTAAAAAATGTACTTAATATAAGAATCCCTCCTGTGTTCATAAAGCACTAAAATAATAATTCTAGAAACTAATAAATATAAATTTACAAAAATATATGGTCAATTTTAAGTGGCAAGTATGCTACTTATGTTTTCAATTTAAATTTAAATTTGCAGGTATCAAATTATGGCCATAATTGATAATGACAATTATATTTACAATATAAATGTCAAATATATTTCCCTACATGATATACACTTATGATGATACCCTCTCAATAGATAATTCTAATATGAAAAAAAAATATTTGCAAACATTTGGACAAATGTGACTTTCACATCCAACTCCATCAAATAATGTTTAATATTAATAGACTTAATTCTGGGGAGATATATTTGATCAATCATTTAATTTTACAATGGCCAAATGTATCTATGTAATTAAGTGCATGCATCTGAGTGCTGTCTGAAAGCATGTATACACATATGACCATGTGTTGCTTAGTATAGACTAAAACATAGATACATTTGTTCATGTGGGTAAAAGTTTTGGCTCATATTTGATCACTCTTATGTAATTCACTTATATATTTTCTAAGCAATAGTCAACATTCAATGCAAATAAAGAAACAGATTAATAACTGAGGCTTTTCCTTATATCTATGATGTTTTCCCTCTTGTGTTTTTCTGTTCTGAACTGTTCAAGTCACAGTATTTTCTAAAATTTCATTCTCTTGCAGAGCATCTTATAGAGACACCTAGTGGCAAAAGGTAATGGTGGCTTCCGGGACCATCCTTAATGTTGAGTTAATGGCAGAAAGTTTTCATCATTTACTTATTTGAACCACAAGAGGTAAACTAGATTATTAGCATAAGTGTTTCTAACAAAACTGTAACCTAAACTAATTCCAAACATATTTAATACTTCTTAGTTGAATAATATTTCCTTTAATTAGAACAATAAATATTTAAAATAAAAATAATACAAAACCATGAATTAAACTTTGCTATTGAATGAAATTATAAAGATTTAGAACAGTGATAAAATATAACAGCTTTATTTCAGCTATTTTGAAAAAATCAATAATCGATTAAGACAATTTAGGACCTTTAAGAACTTCTACAAAGTTAATCGATATTGAAAATTATGTTTCTGATAGGACTCAATATTTATATTCCAAAGGCTTCTGGCTGTAATTCCTATATAATTTTAAATTTAAATATTTCATTTCATTTTGAAAATATAAAAGTAATTTTAAACTTAAAATAAATTTTCTGAAATGTTTATATAATGTTAAAAGTTAATGACTGAATAAAAAATACAGAAATAAGCCTTTTGTGGATGACGTGTAAGTTATATTTGTTGATGCAATGTATCTACAGCTAGTGGCTATCATTCCTAGGTCAAATGCTTCTAAATTTAATGAAACGTTCATTACAAGATTTTGTTTTTATTGTCTGAAATTACATATTACTTCTTTCCTTCCTCTCCCTTGAATATAACCCATACTTAAACAAAATTGCTTCCAAATAAAGTTTTTATGGTATAAAGTAAAAATATATATATTCACACAACATACGCAGGGGAAAGTTCAAAAAAGATTGCAGTACCTCAGGAGACTGCAATGTTCATCACCTGAGATATATATACATCTCAGAACATAGACATATTATCAGACTCTATATCAATATTAAACATATGATTAACCAGATTATAACACAGTATTATCCCAAATATTACTAAGAATAAAACAATATCAATAATAATTAAGACGTAATTAATTGCAAAATAAAGTGGGTAAAATATATTTACATGGAGAAACTAACTACATAGTTATCAAAGGAACAGGCACATGTGCACTCAGCCTGCACTGGGTCACTTACTATTATCAACTTTTCTCTTATACCCGGGATGAACGGCAGGTCTAATATTACAAATATTGAAAACATGTCTTATGAAAGTAAAGACCCCTTTTTGGGGATGGAAGTGTCTGGTTTCATGGAAAGACCCAAGAATACTTACTGTAGAGATGACTCTAGTGGAGTTTAGCAGATGACTCTTCAAGAAACTCGCTTTCTATCGATATTGCATTTACTTAGGGGTTTTCCAGCTTTTTAGTACACACCAGATGTATTCACAAACATTCCCTCTGAAAGTCTTTCACATTCCCTTGTGTTGCCTAGACACACCTATAAAACGTAATTCTATTAAAGAGAAAAGAAAAGTAGCGCCCTTGTTTGCAGCTAGGAGGAACCACTCCCTTTTCCAGGATCCTTAACAGTAAGTACACGAGACAGCAGCATTCTGAATGGCAGGAGGAAGGCAGGCGATCAGCACAGGGCTGGAATCATCTGTTCCTGACCACCAGCAAGCCTGGCACTGCCGGGGTTATTTCCACTCCTCCCTTTCCCAATCCGAGAATTGCACAGTCCCACGCTCGAATTACACACATGGTCCAAGACTTCTCTCTCTTCCTACGAATGTGACATCCAAGGGGGCCCCGGTTGCGCCGCCCTAGCCCAGGGACGCCTTCGCCCTCGGCTGCCATCTATCGGCCACCGAGCGCCCGCTTCGCCCCGGGCCCATCATGTCTGCTGCAGCTTGGCTCGCACCAGAGGCGCGACAATAAACAAGTGCACTGGACTGGGCCCTGCACCCGCTCCGGAGCAGCTGTCTCAGAGACCCGGTGTTGCTTACCGCGTTGCCACCTCCTCGGCGCCCGGGAGGAAGACGCAACTTTCTCGGAGTTTTTTTTAGAGCCACCGGGCTGCCAGGACAAGCCACAGGCATAGAACGACGCGGTTGCTGCCCGCCCCCCCCTTCCCCCAGAAACCCCAAAGGATGTCGGTGATAGAGAGTTCCAACTAATGACGATTGTGCGCCGCATCTGGGGAAGGGATACAGAAAAAAACCCTGCAAACACCGTGAGGATGAAACTGCCAAAGGGATGCAAGAGCCTCTCAAATACTAATTAGGGGCCGCGGCGGCGGCGGGCTCGGCGCGGAGACAGCGTCGGCGGGATCCCAGCGCGGTGGTCGCCGCTGCGCTGGGGGGCGGAGGACAGCGCAGGAGCTGCAGCCGCCGCCTTCGCTGGAGCAGCCGAGGGGCCGGTGCCACCTTTGCTCGCCCCCTCACTACCATGTACAGTGTGCGCTGCAAGAAGAAGGCGGGAGATGCATGCACACCCCCGCGACCCGCTCCCTCTGGCTCGTCCCCCGGCGTGCGCCACTGACCAGGGGGGAATGTGGTGAAGACGGCGAGGAGGAGAGCCGAGGGGGGAGGGGAGGGCCGGCCGGCGCGAACCCAGGCCGGAGGGTGCGAGGAGCCAGAGGAGGCTGGAGGGGGCGGCGGCCACAGCTGGGTCGGAGAAAGTTGCCCCCTATGCAGATGGCAACTGTGAGTACCCCTGTGGGGGGGAGGGTGCAGCGAAGGCTGCCAGGGACCCCGCGATCGCGCCTTAACACGTATTGGAGCGAGTGTGCGAGTGATCATGAGTGTGAGCGGGTGCGAGCGCTCGGCGGGGCTGACCGTCACGTTGGCGGGGCCGGCGGGGCCAGGCAGTCTTCTCCGCGTCCCCCTCCTCCCGCTCCGTGCCTCCCCTCCCAGCAGCTCCCCCTCCCCGCCCCGCCCGGCTCCGGCTCCCGGCCCCTACCGCGAGGCGCCTCTCCAGCCGGACCTCCGCCGCCCCCTCCCGCCGCCTCCCTATCCCGCCGCTGCAGAACGCCCCCCGCTCTCCACCCCCCAACCCTGCTGCCCGCTCCGACTACCGCGGAGAGCACCGGGGAGAGCCTTTTGGGGAGCCCCGGAACCCGCGGTCGCCACCGCGGCGGCGGCCCCAGGCTGGAGGCGTCCGGGCGCCTCTTTCCTCCAGCCTCTGGGACTGCGCTGCTCGCAGTCTCCTCGCCCTGCCTGGGCTTGAGAAACCTAGTGCATACCCCAAAGAGGGTTTTTGTGTATGTGTGTGTTTTTAAAGGGTGGCTATGATGACTGGGCCTTGGAGATGTGAGACTGGGTAAGTCTATCGTTTACTTTGCAAAAGAGGTGTGTGTGTGTGTGTGTGTGTGTGTGTGTGTGTGTGTGTGTGTGTGTGTGTGTCTATGTGGCGGGGTGGTTTTCCTTCCCTCTCCTCCCTCCCCTTCTTCCTCCGTTTTCCCTTCCTTCTCTTTGGGGCGGGGTGGGGGAGGGGGAGCCTCGCGTCCTGGAACTCCGGGTGCTTCTGCCTGGGCTGCTGCTTGAGCAGCTGTGCCCGGAGCCTCCGGTGCGGCCTGGGTGCTGGGCTCCAGTCCGAGAGGCTCCATGCTGCTTACTGCAGGGACGTACAGGGCGGTGATCCAGTATCTAAATTCTTTGGGAGAAAATGAATAGTTCCCCCGCCCCCGCCCTCCAGGAAAAAAAAAAATCTGAGAATCTGAGAATGTTCAGCGCACCCGCGAATTTGCATCGGAGGTGCGTTTCCCCGTCAGAATGTCAGCCTCCCCAGGCTCATTCAACTTTATTTTCTCAAATTTTTGGTCTCCTTTGCTAGCAAGGAGGAGGGGGAAGGGAGTGGGTTGAGAGGAAGCTCTTCGACCCTTGCTAACTAGAACTGAATTAAAGTTGTAAACGCTGGAGTTTAATACTGGCTGGACTGAATTTGCAATGGGCTTTCAGATGGGGTGGGAGGTGAATGGGGGCGGGGAAGCACAGGGAGGGAGGGGGAGGGGACCCAACCTCGCTGAATGGATGTGCGGATTTGATCCAGCGGAGAACTGAAATTTCAAGGTAAACGTTTTGCTTTCACTGGGGTGGGGATGTTTTTGCCGCTTTTAAGCCGGGAGACGTTTACCGTTGCGTTGGGAGGTCGGGGATACTTGCGAGGTTTATGCACTGTGGTTCCAATTCATCTCGACACGTCTGGGTGGCCACACGTGAATGATTCGCAGGCACACTGATACATGTGCGTTTGAATGCAGGGGCGTTTAATAACGCGGGCTGGAGTCGACTTGGGGATCAGGAGCAAGGTCTCCAGGCTTGAACCCGCTGTCTCGGAAACATCTTGGCTTTAGTTTGGAGTTGCAATTCGATATTAGACTTCGGTAGTGAGGCAAAGGCAAGGTTGACCAGAGAAAAGGCATAGGTTCCTAGAGTCCAGCATTTCTATCAAATGTCCTCCACCCCATTAACCAACGCAGCATGCGCGCGCGCGCACACACAAACACACACACACACACACACACACACACACACACGCTCATTCCATTTATGTCCTTCCTTTAAGAGTGCTGCTGTTGATCAGAAGTAGGAAGTGGAAGGAAGCCTTCAAGGGGACAAAAAGAGAGCAAGAAAAAAAAGGGGGAGGGGGTCATATTGATTCCTGTGGGAGATGAAATTCGGATATTAAACAACTGACCTAAGTCGCTTACAGTTCTTCCTCCCACCTTTCTATTTTGCCTCTTAATCAGCCCAGGCGTCCTTTCCCTGAGATTAAAAAAAAGAGAGAGGGGAGCGTTAACAATTAAATGTAATAAGCAACTCCAAAGATGGGGATGCTGTCGAGGTGGTAGTTCCGTGCAAACCTTGCTATTACCGTTGCAAATAGACGCGGAGCCCAAGGTAAGGGAGGCTTTCGTGCTGATCCTTGGTGTACTGATTCCCGGTAAGCGGTAGGAACGTCCTTTTTAAACTCTAGGCATCGGGAGGTATTCGGAGATTGCGGATACCTTCGCTGAGTTCTTTGTAATCCATCGTGCAGAACTATTTCAGTGGCTTAAAGATGCGGTTTGGTAGCGTCGCTGACATGATCAATGAGAAGTGGTCGCAGGGCGCTCTCCGGGAAGCGCTGCTAAGTGGTACCGTGCATGCAATTAGGACGCTGATGTGCTTTAATAGCGTGGTAGTGAAGTCCACCATCAAAGCAAATGCGCTCTCCTTTTTTCTCCTTACTCAAAGCTCCGGGAGACAATTGGTGATTTAAGAGCTTCTTGGGGCTCCTTTGATGCATTATATTACAGCCTTTTTGCCTCTGAAAAGTATCCTTTAGGTTCCCACCGTGGCATTTCTAGCGATGGTTTAAAATACCCCAAGTATTTTGGCTCCTTGCCTCTCTGTGAACATGAGAGACCTTCACGGTGAACTGTTAACTGAAGAGGCTCTGAAAGAAAGAAGGGGGGGTGGGGGCTGGGTATAGGTGAGGTGGGGAACCTTGTAAAATGGTGCTTCTTTTTTCTTAAATTAGAACCATGAAACTGAACTGACAGCCATTTTATGTATATTTATGGATTGGTTTTGAAAAGGGGGGGAGAAGAGAAAACTAAAATGGGACTTTATCTAACCTGCTCTTATCTTGTAAGGAGCAGCATATTTGTGGTGTGCTCATTTAAAAAAATTAATCAACCTTTAAATCAAAATGTATAATAGATTTTAATAAAATCTAGAGAATGTCAATGTTTCACTTGGGGAGGTGTGTCATTTGTATCTCTTCCTTTTGGGTTTTAGAGTAATAATGTTAAGAAAGAGAGAGACTTTCTGACTGATCCCTTAAATTTTTGTCATATTCTGTTATTTCCTTGTTTTCTCTCTCCCTTACAGGAGGTAAAATGCACACTTGCTGCCCCCCAGTAACTTTGGAACAGGACCTTCACAGAAAAATGCATAGCTGGATGCTGCAGACTCTAGCGTTTGCTGTAACATCTCTCGTCCTTTCGTGTGCAGAAACCATCGATTATTATGGGGAAATCTGTGACAATGCATGTCCTTGTGAGGAAAAGGACGGCATTTTAACTGTGAGCTGTGAAAACCGGGGGATCATCAGTCTCTCTGAAATTAGCCCTCCCCGTTTCCCAATCTACCACCTCTTGTTGTCCGGAAACCTTTTGAACCGTCTCTATCCCAATGAGTTTGTCAATTACACTGGGGCTTCAATTTTGCATCTAGGTAGCAATGTTATCCAGGACATTGAGACCGGGGCTTTCCATGGGCTACGGGGTTTGAGGAGATTGCATCTAAACAATAATAAACTGGAACTTCTGCGAGATGATACCTTCCTTGGCTTGGAGAACCTGGAGTACCTACAGGTCGATTACAACTACATCAGCGTCATTGAACCCAATGCTTTTGGGAAACTGCATTTGTTGCAGGTGCTTATCCTCAATGACAATCTTTTGTCCAGTTTACCCAACAATCTTTTCCGTTTTGTGCCCTTAACGCACTTGGACCTCCGGGGGAACCGGCTGAAACTTCTGCCCTACGTGGGGCTCTTGCAGCACATGGATAAAGTTGTGGAGCTACAGCTGGAGGAAAACCCTTGGAATTGTTCTTGTGAGCTGATCTCTCTAAAGGATTGGTTGGACAGCATCTCCTATTCAGCCCTGGTGGGGGATGTAGTTTGTGAGACCCCCTTCCGCTTACACGGAAGGGACTTGGACGAGGTATCCAAGCAGGAACTTTGCCCAAGGAGACTTATTTCTGACTACGAGATGAGGCCGCAGACGCCTTTGAGCACCACGGGGTATTTACACACCACCCCGGCGTCAGTGAATTCTGTGGCCACTTCTTCCTCTGCTGTTTACAAACCCCCTTTGAAGCCCCCTAAGGGGACTCGCCAACCCAACAAGCCCAGGGTGCGCCCCACCTCTCGGCAGCCCTCTAAGGACTTGGGCTACAGCAACTATGGCCCCAGCATCGCCTATCAGACCAAATCCCCGGTGCCTTTGGAGTGTCCCACCGCGTGCTCTTGCAACCTGCAGATCTCTGATCTGGGCCTCAACGTAAACTGCCAGGAGCGAAAGATCGAGAGCATCGCTGAACTGCAGCCCAAGCCCTACAATCCCAAGAAAATGTATCTGACAGAGAACTACATCGCTGTCGTGCGCAGGACAGACTTCCTGGAGGCCACGGGGCTGGACCTCCTGCACCTGGGGAATAACCGCATCTCGATGATCCAGGACCGCGCTTTCGGGGATCTCACCAACCTGAGGCGCCTCTACCTGAATGGCAACAGGATCGAGAGGCTGAGCCCGGAGTTATTCTATGGCCTGCAGAGCCTGCAGTATCTCTTCCTCCAGTACAATCTCATCCGCGAGATTCAGTCTGGAACTTTTGACCCGGTCCCAAACCTCCAGCTGCTATTCTTGAATAACAACCTCCTGCAGGCCATGCCCTCAGGCGTCTTCTCTGGCTTGACCCTCCTCAGGCTAAACCTGAGGAGTAACCACTTCACCTCCTTGCCAGTGAGTGGAGTTTTGGACCAGCTGAAGTCACTCATCCAAATCGACCTGCATGACAATCCTTGGGATTGTACCTGTGACATTGTGGGCATGAAGCTGTGGGTGGAGCAGCTCAAAGTGGGCGTCCTAGTGGACGAGGTGATCTGTAAGGCGCCCAAAAAATTCGCTGAGACCGACATGCGCTCCATTAAGTCGGAGCTGCTGTGCCCTGACTATTCAGATGTAGTAGTTTCCACGCCCACACCCTCCTCTATCCAGGTCCCTGCGAGGACCAGCGCCGTGACTCCTGCGGTCCGGTTGAATAGCACCGGGGCCCCCGCGAGCTTGGGCGCAGGCGGAGGGGCGTCGTCGGTGCCCTTGTCTGTGTTAATTCTCAGCCTCCTGCTGGTTTTCATCATGTCCGTCTTCGTGGCCGCCGGGCTCTTCGTGCTGGTCATGAAGCGCAGGAAGAAGAACCAGAGCGACCACACCAGCACCAACAACTCCGACGTGAGCTCCTTTAACATGCAGTACAGCGTGTACGGCGGCGGCGGCGGCACGGGCGGCCACCCACACGCGCACGTGCATCACCGCGGGCCCGCGCTGCCCAAGGTGAAGACGCCCGCGGGCCACGTGTATGAATACATCCCCCACCCACTGGGCCACATGTGCAAAAACCCCATCTACCGCTCCCGAGAGGGCAACTCCGTAGAGGATTACAAAGACCTGCACGAGCTCAAGGTCACCTACAGCAGCAACCACCACCTGCAGCAGCAGCAGCAGCCGCCGCCGCCACCGCAGCAGCCACAGCAGCAGCCCCCGCCGCAGCTGCAGCTGCAGCCCGGGGAGGAGGAGAGGCGGGAAAGCCACCACTTGCGGAGCCCCGCCTACAGCGTCAGCACCATCGAGCCCCGGGAGGACCTGCTGTCGCCGGTGCAGGACGCCGACCGCTTTTACAGGGGCATTTTAGAACCAGACAAACACTGCTCCACCACCCCCGCCGGCAATAGCCTCCCGGAATATCCCAAATTCCCGTGCAGCCCCGCTGCTTACACTTTCTCCCCCAACTATGACCTGAGACGCCCCCATCAGTATTTGCACCCGGGGGCAGGGGACAGCAGGCTACGGGAACCGGTGCTCTACAGCCCCCCGAGTGCTGTCTTTGTAGAACCCAACCGGAACGAATATCTGGAGTTAAAAGCAAAACTAAACGTTGAGCCGGACTACCTCGAAGTGCTGGAAAAACAGACCACGTTTAGCCAGTTCTAAAAGCAAAGAAACTCTCTTGGAGCTTTTGCATTTAAAACAAACAAGCAAGCAGACACACACAGTGAACACATTTGATTAATTGTGTTGTTTCAACGTTTAGGGTGAAGTGCCTTGGCACGGGATTTCTCAGCTTCGGTGGAAGATACGAAAAGGGTGTGCAATTTCCTTTAAAATTTACACGTGGGAAACATTTGTGTAAACTGGGCACATCACTTTCTCTTCTTGCGTGTGGGGCAGGTGTGGAGAAGGGCTTTAAGGAGGCCAATTTGCTGCGCGGGTGACCTGTGAAAGGTCACAGTCATTTTTGTAGTGGTTGGAAGTGCTAAGAATGGTGGATGATGGCAGAGCATAGATTCTACTCTTCCTCTTTTGCTTCCTCCCCCTCCCCCGCCCCTGCCCCACCTCTCTTTCTCCCCTTTTAAGCCATGGGTGGGTCTAACTGGCTTTTGTGGAGAAATTAGCACACCCCAACTTTAATAGGAAATTTGTTCTCTTTTTCCGCCCCTCTCCTTCTCTCCTCCCCTCCCCTCCCTTCTCATTCCTTTTCTTTGTTTTTAAAGGATGTGTTTGTATGCATTCTGGACATTTGAATTAAAAAAAAAGTATTGTGATCCTGTAAAGGATCACCATAGATGTGGACAAATCATTAAAATTACAGAGCTATATGATCCATAATTGATTAGTCAAAATAACTTATTGATGAAATATACAAATATTTTATTGTAGCACCTATTTTTATATGCACATTTAGCATTCCTCTTTCCTTCACTATTTAGCCTATGATTTTGCAGAGGTGTCACACTGTATTAGGATCTGCATTTCTAAAACTGACGTGGTATCAGGAAGGCATTTTCAATCATTCAAAATGTGGAGAATTTAATGGCTAAATCTTTAAAAGCCAATGCAACCCACCCAATTGAATCTGCATTTTCTTTTAAGAAAACAGAGCTGATTGTATCCCAATGTATTTTAAAAAATAGGGCAATTGATTGGGCCATTCCGAGAGAATTGTTTGCAAGTTTTGGGTTTTATTAGAAAATATTTGAAAGTATTTTTATTAATGAACCAAAATGACATGTTCATTTGACTACTATTGTAGCCGATTTTCGATTGTTTAACCAAACCCAGTTGCATTTGTACAGATCCACGTGTACTGGCACCTCAGAAGACCAAATCATGGACTGTACAAGTCTCTATACAATGTCTTTATCCCTGTGGGCAGCAAGCAATGATGATAATGACAAACAGGATATCTGTAAGATGGGGCTACTGTTGTTACAGTCTCATATGTATCCCAGCACATGTAATTTTTTAAATAGTTTCTGAATAAACACTTGATAACTATGTCAAATATGAGGGATGGAAGTAATGATTACTTAAGGTGCAAAAGACTTAACTATGTGTGATTGATAGAATCTCCATCATTAACAATTTAGGAAATAGTTCCTAAACTTTATTCCTAATACAAAATGTGTTTCCCCTAATTAGCAAAATTGTAAAGTATATAGTATATATATAGTATATAGTATATATAGTATATAGTATATATATAGTATATAGTATATATATAGTATATATATAGTATATATAGTATATATGTATATATATAGTATATATAGTATATATATAGTATATAGTATATATATAGTATATAGTATATATATACTATATATAGTATATATATATATAACATACATGACATATATAAGTAATTTATTCCTTTGTTGGTTCAGGGAAGTATGATTTTCTAAATGTGTCGCTTAATGTGTTTATTAATGCAGTTTCAATTATATACACTCTTTCCTTACTGAAGTATTCATCTACTACGTGGAGCATGGTAAGTAATA
The DNA here is from genome assembly GCF_000001405.40 of Homo sapiens. Classification (NCBI taxonomy): domain Eukaryota; kingdom Metazoa; phylum Chordata; class Mammalia; order Primates; family Hominidae; genus Homo; species Homo sapiens. Next base: position 87,680,113 of record NC_000013.11, read on the forward strand.
TATCGCATATTCACTTTTCTCTTAATACAATGTAATTGTCATATCAGTATTATTTATTCAGTCTACAGTTTTCCATAGTTTTCATATTTTTAATTTGTGTAAAACTACCTTCAACAGTTATGATGGATTCCTTATCTAAAGTTGATCAGTATTCTAAATGCTCAAAATGGTGTATATGAGCTCGTCATCTTTGAATAAGGTTTTCTAGTGAGTTTAGACACAATTTAAGGATAAGAAATGTTTCAATTATGTGCTTCATTGCTATAGGTGGATCTCCCCATAGTTTCACCTGGAATTTGTACAATATCAAGGGCTGTTCATGAACTTTGTGTTTAAAGAACAATTTCCATGGCATTCTGCCACAAAGAGGCAGCATTCACCCATGAGAAAATTGACAGTAACTACTTGAATTCAGGTTGAACAGGTGGTACCAGTTTCCCGGAGGATTAAAAAAAAAACAAATTGTAATGCTACATTGACCAAGTACAGTAAGCTGTTCATATTCTTTGCAACATTTTCCTTTCTAATTTTTTTTTCAAAGGGGAAAGGAATAAGCTTAATAATGTCATGGTATTATCATGAAGAAAAGTGCATTGCTTGCTCTTCATCTACCTCCTCTATATTAGATCCAAGATTAGAAAAGAAAAAAAAAATACTAGCATTTGACTTCAAAATTGAGATTGGTATTATTCTTCACAGCAGCAGGAAGTTATTTTTTTAATGTCAGTATCACTTCCTCAACCTTATTATATATAGATATGACAGTTTTATAAATTATAAAATATAAATGTAAAGTGGAATCCTCCATGTAACTTAGTTTTATTTCTTAATTGGTGCATAAAATAAAAAGATAAGAATTACATAAAATTAATGACTTAGTTCTGGGCAATATAAGTAACTTTCAAAGAAAGTTTAGTGATGTATTTTTCAAAGATTTACAAAATTTTATTGTAAAACCAGCATTATTTTACATCATTTTGTCACATATACTCCCTTTAGGTGGTTCATTTCTATCTTACTCTTCCTAAGATGTCCAATATTTTATTTTAATCTTCAAAATAACATTTATAGATTGATTTTTAGAAGTTCCCCTTAATTTTTATATTATATTTTCCCACTGTGTTAAGAAAATAAAAGTAAATTCATCCTGACTTTCATAAATGTGAAAAATTTTTTATCATCTCAGAATCATGAAACTGCACAGAATTAAAAAATGAATCATTTTTCTCCTACCAACGTCTTCCTGCTAATACATTAACTCATAAATTAGAATATAGGTTGTATAGTGTTGAATATTTGATTTTTGTTGATTTAAGTTGCTCACTGAGTAGATAATTGGAATGGGCATATCAGTAGTATATGACTGGAGTAAGAAAATTCTCTTCACAGAATTTTGAGGAAGAAAATATGTAATGTTTCAGGCACCAATTAAATTTGGATGCACACTAAGCTTACTCTTTGTGCTTGTTCGATTTAATATGTTGCATAAATCTCATATATTTAGAGGTAGATATTACAAAATATTATTTCTATGTCTATGTGATTATAATGTAAATACTTAAATTATATAAGAAAAAATAAACATATTCCAAGAAAATGTAGATAATTTGAATGCTAATATAAAAAATCATTTACAGCTAAACTATTGATTGAAGTTGTAAGTTAAACCACCTTAGCATAGATAGCCGACTTGGAACATGTCTTCTGTTTAGTGAAGATTATCACCTTTACACATGAAAAGTGGAAATTTTTGACAAATTTCCTGGGAACTCAAGTCTGTTCCTCACCACTGTTTCCTCAATACTAGTAAGAAAATCAAACTAGTTTGTAATGAGAACATCCACACGTACTGTGAAAAAAGTTACCATTTAAGAATTTAATCCAAGATCGCAGTTTCTGGCCTTAGGTATTAGTTATATTTGTGTTACTACCTTGTTTTGTTGGCAAAATATTCAAATTAATATTCATTATTTTCTTTTTCTATTCTATTATTTCTTGTTTCCTTACATCTGCTCCTTCCCTCCTTTCTCTTTTTTATCTTTTTTCTTCATTATTTTTCAATAAGGCAAGGGAAAGAGTGAACATAGTTTAGTCCTAGTTTGAAATGCCAAAATCTGGCTATTTAATTTGAAGAGTTCCATCGATGGTTCCCAAAGTCACATGACTCCAGATTAATGATAACATAGCAAATCACAAATATTCTGTCAATTCATTTGGAAATGTGCTCTTCTTGCACTTTTCAGATGGCTCCAATTTAAGATATTTGCAGGCATGGCAAGATACCTGGAATGACTACTTTTAAGAATAAATTTTACACTAAGAAAAAGGAACTAGGAACATCAAAGCAACAGATTTAAATACTAGAACCAGGCACAGTTAATTAATTAATTTTCAAAGAGAATAAAATGTTGCAAAAGTATAAACTGTACCATATTAACAGTTTTATTTATGCATAAGTTTCTACAAACCCTTTGAGATTCTCCACTATTGCAAATAAATATGTGAGAATAAAATTAAAGTAGTTGGATAGACATTAGTCATGTGCCTAAAAATAATTGTCTAACATCTATATCCTCATAAACTTTATATCCATTGATATTGCAGCTGTACATTATAATTATTAATTTCAATTCAATGTAATGCCTTTCTATGACTAACCATATATATTTCCATGAATATATGTAGCATGTATATGACATACAAAAATAGATGGATTATCAAGGAGTTATTACACACACATTTTTCCCAAGTTTTTTTACATTTTAATATTTTCAAGGATTTCAAATTATACTCTTATTTTAATGTTTTAGGAATGTTAGATTGGGGACAGAAAATTTGATGCAGTAAAATTTTTGAATGTGACAATAATACAGTACTTTTCTTTTCTTCCTCCGGTTTTAGCAGACCATGGCTTACTAGCACAGGTCAAATACTTCTGGTGTTAATTGTACTAGCATTATAAAAACTGTACTAGTATTAAAAGAACAACATTTAACTCCAAGTTTGAGAGATTTAGACTATTTCCTAAAATAATTTCTGAAGATTAAAATAGAAATATTTTATAGAAAGTTGATGTAATGCAAATATAAAATAATTTGATTTTTTAGAGATCTAAACAAAATGTTATGATATATTGCACAATGCTAAGTATGTCAGATCCATTTTTATTAGATGTTAGTAGAGTCATTTTATACAAGAAAGTAATAGTCAAGTAATAGTCATAGAGATATGTTGAATGGAAATCTTCCACTGAGGTTTTTTTTTTTTTTTTTTTTTGGCATCTTTATTAGTAATCATGAAGAAATATTGTACATTTCTATTATAAAATAAACATGTATATACTTTAAAATTTCATGTTTCTAAAAGTAGAAGTTATGAACCATTGTTTTGAAGGATATTTTTCATTTTTGTTGTTTTTAATTTTAGTTTAACATATGCACAGATGACATTGTGGCTTTATTTTGAAGACTCATTTATACCTGGTCCACATTGACAAACTTATTTGCGATTTGTATATTTAAATAATTTTTTCAAGATATTAACATACAAGTTCAATTCTTTCTTGATTGTAATACTTCAATATTTAATCATATTTATATTCATATATATTTATGCGAGCAGCAAAATTCTGTGGTTTTTGGTGTTCTGGAGTGTACATATTTTAGATTTTTACTGACAAATTAATTTCTACTACTAGTGATCATTTCTAGCATTCTCAACTAACACACTTTTCAAAAATCTTATTGTATACTTCATTAAAAACAATACATAATAATGGATATTGAAACCAAAATTTCTGCATATTTTCAATTTAGTACCTGCCTATTGAAACAAAATCTGAAGGGTGTCAGTAATCCTAGGTTAACTGATTAGCAAATTTCTTTTAGGATACTATAATACTCTGACTAGCATGTTTCATGCATGAAAAGTTCATCGGTGATATGCAGACTACAGTTTTAAATATTAAATTTAAAAATTGATATATAAAAATGAAAACTTGACCAATAAATATATCTCACCTGTAATAATATATTTACATAAATTATCCACACAAAAAATATGCCTTTTAACTTTATAAACATAGAATATTTTTTGCTATATTAACATCCAAAGTCAAAAGGGTGTATCACTCTGAAAATTCTAATAATAGTGAAAGACTTATAGCTATCAAATTTATTTAAATCCTCTGTTTTAATATCTACTTTAAATTTTCACTTCAAAATATAAAGTTAATGGTATATATTTTTTTTTATATAGCTGAAATCTGCCCTTGCTAAAGTTTCATAAGATATACAATACACATAATAGGGTTCCTTCACAGTTTTATTTTTGTTTAGCATTTAGGTACCATATATTAAAATATGAAGCTATAAATTTCCACTAGTTAAGTTATAATTATGTTTTTTCAAACAATATACCTCAATTATATAATCATCCCAATTTTTTAAAGCTAGTGACCATGAGCATATATATGGGTGCATCCAAATGAGAATATTGAGATCCAGAAATTACTAATTTTAGAGAATATTCAAAATCATTCACCAGACTGTCATTTAAACCCATTCAATCAGTATAATGATATATTTGTTACCCAATTATGATGAAAGATCCCTAATTCTTAGATGAAAATGTAGTATTTCACTGGAAATTCGTTTTTTGAATGTTAAACCATAATTATTGAGTATCCAGATTATAAATTTTAAATATCCTCTCCAAGATTTTATATATATAATTTATATATATATACAGAAAATTAAAGAGGGTCTTTCTATAAAAGTAAGCATTTTAGGAAATCACTAATTTCATATGGCTTTCACTATGTTTGACTTGTAATTTAACAACAAATTTCATCTTCCTTTAAGAATTTTTACCCCAGAGAAGGTATTTGTTTGCATAGCATGTACTTGAGTCATCCGTTGTCCTATTATTGGTTTTGGCCTAGTCTCTTCATTTAGAAGCTCTGTGCCCAAGGTCAGACACATGGAAAATGGTCTCTATCATTGCCTTTAATTCTCACAACTGAATCATTCTACCACTGTCCCCTACCTCTCTGTTATTTTTTGAAAGAAAAAAAAAAGAAGGTGATATATCTCTTTATTTTGCTAACAAAAGAATTTTAAGAATATCCTAAGGCAAATTCATGACATCCCCCACATTATTAAAATAAAAATATGACTCAATTTCTAACATGGCAATCAAGAACTATGTAAGCAGGACTTAGTGTGAATAAGGGGATGGGGATTTTAAATTGTTACTATGAATTTGTGATTCATTAGTAATTTTAAATACACAACATCTAAAACATAAAGGTGGCAATTTCTTTTTTAGTATATTTTAAATTACACACTTTTGTTGACAGGGTAGGTAATATAGTTTACAAAATGCCACTATTGCCTGCTTACAAACATTAAGAAACTTGGTTGCCGACTGATGACTCATGTGGTAACTCCTGAACAATCTGTTTTATTTGATCAGATCAGCTTTATTTCCTTTAAAAAAAATTTTGAATTCAAATGATTTTAGGCTAGATGAATAGCTTCCATATTTCCATATTGTCTTAACCTAGAAACTTCAAATAATTTTACATTACCAGCTAGACCATAAGTGTATTTTAACTTTCAATCATGATTAAATAAAATTTGTTCCTCTAATATTAAAATGTATCTATCATAATCATGGATTTTTAGATATTGTTCTTGGGGAGCTCAGAGTTTATCAAAGCTTTATATGTGATATACGAGGTAGTAAATACTATGTAGGTTTATATTAAGGAAATAAAACAAATATAATAAACACGAGAATGAATAATTTTACATGAAAAGGGGGAGCTGGTATGCTGTATATTAATATTGTATTTGAAATATAAATATATGTGTTAAAGTTAACCATTTACAGTGACTTGGAGTCTCCCAGAGATGAAATTACTCCTGTTTAGGTGATTTTGTAAAATGCACTATCTCTCACAGCCCCTGGACATCATAAGGGAAGTGGCAGCAGTAATTTAAGAGGTATGTGAATACAGAAGGGAAATTATAATTGCAGCATACACAGAAGCTTTTCCTAAACTGTTCAACTGCTCATATACTTGACAAGAGTGTAAATGGCCAATTCATTGGAAATATGTGAAACATCAAATATGAGAATCACTTTTAGGATGACAGGTATAATTTGGAAAATCTGATCCGATAGAATTAAGACCAAAACTTTTTTAAATGGGAGAAGACAGAATGGCCATTTTTTTTTCAATGTCTTTGAACAAAATAATGAGTAGAAGTAATATATTCTTCACCATTGCTTACTGTGTCCATGAGAGGTTGTTTGTAAATAGATATATACCTACAGGAAGTAAAAGATAATGTAATGAAATTCTCAAACTCTCCAAATATGTTTGTTTCCTTTTAAGATTGTTTTTCTTGAGACAAAAAACTGAAATACTATCTAAAATAATTTTGGATTTTATTTCCTCTATCCTTTTTATAACAAAATGTTACTTAGCTTTATATATTGCTATTATGTATGTTTCTATATAAATATATAATAAGTTGGATTTTTTTTCACTGTTGATTTGGTTTAGTCATCATCTTAGCTTTTTGCCTCACTGAAAGTATAGGTTGTGCTTCAAATGAGAAAATAAGAGGTGCGAAGTATTTGCTGTTATTTTTATCAAATGATAGCCAATGGCTAAACATTAAAATGGTGATTCTGTTATTCCGAATTAAGTTTCTTTGTCCACCACAGATTGATGGTGTGTCTTTGGCAACTTTCTTTGTGTCTCTGCTTTAATTTCAATTGTAAAAATGAATCCAATGAACTTGGTTTATGAACAGCTGAAAGAAATTTAGATTTTAAGTTTTCTCTACTAGGTGTATGACAACTGTGACTCTAAAATCAGCAACATGATAATTAACTATTACTGTTATTTACATTATGCACCTATGAAAGGGATGATTATATCTTTTAGAGAAAACATCTTTCTCTTACTGCGTATGTGTCTAATATTTGTAAAATAATTAGTTCAAAACATTTAATTTCTCCATTAACTTTTATTTTACAAAATGAAATAATTGTTTGTAGATAATTAATGGCAACTTTAAAAGTATGACACCCTTGAAAAAGAAAGAACTTACTAGTTTAGTTTTCTTGACTTTCTTACATATTTTTACCTTTTGAAATAACATTGAGCTTTCAGTACATTTAATAAGATGTATCATCAGTATTTATTTCTCAAAAAATTGAGTAACCTTTCTAAATTAGATAAGTTTTATTTGCTTATTTTATTTGCTTTTAACACATTTTGAAGTTATGTGTGAGGTAATTTCCATTGTTCCAGTTTTAATTCAAACAATACTGAACATACTTACAATATCTAAAGATCTTTGGCCTTTCTTTGCAGAATTAATTGGAAAAGGTACAATAAATATGCAATATGTCACTCACCATTTTAATATTCTAAATTTAGCAATTGCTCTTATACCTAATGATTAATAATATAAGTTGTTCTAGTTTCCTTTATCTGCTGTGGTATAAATTTGGCTGTTAATCCAATAATAAAACTATTTATATTTTTAACATTTTCAAATATCATTACTACTGCTATTTACTAGTCTCAGTGACAATCTGAGATCCTCCTTAGATGCTTAGAGGAACCTTTATACAGGGTTATAAATAGAGAATTCTAATGATTAAAATTTAAAATGGTAGCAATGACAAGTCCACTATAAACATAATAAATAAATCATTACCTTCTCTATTAATGAACAGAAACTTCAGTACTTTAAAGCTAATATCTTGAAAGATTTTAGAAGTGCAGCAAGCTGGTACTCACACCTAATGAAAAGGTCTTAGTGAAAATCATTTTACAATTTACAACATTTGCATTGTTCTTTACAAATGTTGTTTCCATTCCATGCAAGACAATTAAACCAGAATTATTTTGACCACAAATTTTTCTTCCTAATTAATTGGCCAAACACAATGTAAATAAAATAGGAAATGCTTCAGTTAATATTTACTATATAAACAAACAAACAGATAGTGGGATAATGGTTTTATCTATCACCATATTCTAGAATTGTGCCTGGCATTCAGTAAGCACCTAATGGATTAACAAATATGTACTTGTAGATGTCTGCAGACCAAGGTGAATTTAGTGAATATCAAAAACTTCTTGAGTGCTCCATCGTAACGCCATTTATCTTGACATAAACTGCAAAGATGGCTCAAATGTCGATAAGGATATCAGGTGAGTGTTTAGTACTTTGGCATGAAAGTTTTTGGAAAACCATTGGGATGCTACTAGTGATATTTAAATATATTTATGCTAAACACAGAAAATATTTTCCAAATGGCTCCCTTTTAGTCTATGTTTGTTTTAATTAAGTTCAGATAGTTAAGAAAAAAATGGAAATAGGACTAGAGAACTTTGGCATAAAACTCATTTCCCAGTCTTTAATTGTAATTATTTATTTTGCTTTGATAGTATAATTGGTTACATTTTTCAAAAATAATAAGAAAAGTAATTGTTGCTGCTCTGCACTTACATTACTGTTTTAAAGTTCAGGGTATGCCCTAATGGAGATGCTGGTGAAATTTTCAGGCATTTTCAACGAATATGATCCCGGTTTTTTTAAGTCTGGTGAGGTGTTTATCTATTTAGAAAGCTTTTCTGGGCACCATGTATTTTCCCCTGGGAGTAGAAAATCAGTTCATCTTTTTAATGACAATATTACCTCGAGGGAAAAAAGTAATCCAGAAGGAATAATACATTCCTCAGGGCAGTTGCCTACACAGGGACACATTTTTCTCTGGGGCTGACTGCACGTATATTTCAGTGGAAGAGTTTAAATATTTTAAGATATGATTGCATTTTGTCATAAGGCACCATGACTAAAGGATACAGTATTTTTTGAATATATAGTAACATATTTTTATAAGCTTTTATACATCAATTATAATTTAGGAAATTTTATTTGCTATGAAAATTTTAGCTGTATTCATATTTGAGGTAAAATAAAATAATTTTAACTTTCAATTTGCATGTTTTGTTAAACATAACATCAGAAGAAAGGAGGCATAAGTAAAGAGATATTTGAGTTTCACTTATGAACACCAAACAGCACAATTTTAGAAGTCTTTTAGCTATTTTGATAGCAAAATATATATTCTTCATTCTTTCTATCCAAACTTTAACCTTGATGAGTACTTAGATGATGAAGTATTTACTTACTGTCATCACTTTGAATACTTTGGAGAATGTATAATTTGAGATTGTGAAGGAGTTTGACTTTGTAGCCACATCTTTTAATTCCTTAACATTATATTTAAGATTCATGTACTTCAAAGTTCTGTTTTCACTTCTTTTGCCCATTAAAAATATTGGAATACTACTAAAAAACCTTTGTACTTTAAATACCTATTTTTTTATTTTACAAACTCTTGTAATAATTTTCCTTCCAAAATAAGAATAAATTTTATATTGAATATATAATGTTAATACATTAAGATACATTGATATTGTGTTTGCATTATAAAATGTATGCTCGCAGAACTACACCTATAGAAAATAGTTTTGTTTCATGAGATATTAATATTATCAAAGCATTTCAATAGCAATCTGATGATAAATATAAAATATAGATTACATTTAAGAATACTATACTTATGTGGAATAATGAAAAATAAATATTAAGCATCTTTTCAAAGTAACTAATATAATCAGAATGAAAATTAGATTTTTTTGAATTTAGGAAAGATCTTTTTTTCCTGTTATTTTCTCTAATTTCTTCATACCAAATCAGTTTTACACTTATTTATTTAAAATTAACTTGAATTTCTGTTGATTATTTTTAAACAAAATCATTATTTGTTGTATAAAATAAAAATAATAGGTTGACTAATTCATAAATAAACTAAATGTAGCTATTTCATTGAGCATTTAAATAACATTTAAACTAAAATCAATCAAAAACACGTCATTTAAACAATGAATTTTCTAAATTAGAACTGCAAAACCAATTATAATGTTGGGTACTAAAGATGTTTTATAATATGCTGATTCATAGTAAATACTTTTAAAAAGAAAAATACATAGCTTTTTTTCCTAAAATTTGAATCTCTTTTTAATACATGAAACATGATTTTATGAATAGTGCTAACATGAGAACATCAGTGTGTCTGTCTTTTTAAGTGGGAATGTGGATATTCTTGTGCATGAGTACCCACATTTATAGTTGAAATTACATTTTTGTTTGTTAAATTGAAAAATAGACAACATAACATCTAGACAACTGTGTGAAAAAGTAAGCTCTACATATTGATAATATATTACATCATAATATATTATATCCTATTATAAATAGTTTTGTAAAGTGACTTGGAAAAATACAGTTCCATGTGTATTTTCAGAAATTTAAATTATTTTTGTTAAAATTGAATAATGTGTACATCTTTAACGCAAATTTTATATGGCTAAATTTCTATTTGGAATGTCTTAAAGTAAAATCACATCAAAATTTAGTCATTATATGTATTATGAATAATACTATAGGCAATATTACTTCCAGTACCAGAGAAAGAAGAAAATATTAGTTTAAAGAAGTAGTTTTTTATTTATAAATAATTAGAAAAAAACACTTGTGTGGGTTTTTCACATGGTAACCAAGAGTAGTATGAATTTTCATACTCTTCCATGTGTACTCTGGGCCATAGCTATGAAAAATTTGTAACCATCATAATAGGAACAGTGATGTTTGGTTTAATTTTGCTCTCTATTGCATGTACTACAAATAAAGATTCTTTTCCATTTGAAAATCTTTCTATAAAACAAGAAATTTCCCATGCAGATGAAATGAGGTTACAGTGAAGCAAAGGAAACTAAGATTGTAGGTATTACCAAACTAAGACAATTTATAAAATTATCTATATATCTATATATAGGTGTGTGTGTGTATATATATATATATATATATATATATATATATATTTTTTTTTTTTTTTTTCAAGACAGAGTCTTGCTCTGTTATCCAGGCTGGAGTGCAGTGGTGCAATTTCTGCTCACCACAGCCCCCACCTCCTGAGTTCAAGTAATTCTCCTGCCTCAGCCTCCCAAGTAGCTGGGATTACAGGTGCCCACCACCATGCCCGGCTAATTTTTGTATTTTTAGTAGAGACGGGGTTTCACCATGTTGGCCAGGCTGGTCTTGAACTCCTGACTTCAGGTGATCCACCTGCCGCGGCCTCCCAAAGTGCTGAAATTACAGGCATGTGCCACTGTGTCTGGCCAAAATAATAAATCTTATGTTAGCTTTAAGGAGTTCTGAACTTAGTATCTGTCATGTAGTAAATAAATAAACATGATAATCTTCTAGGAATTTTGGGTAAATAATTTTAAACAAATTCTTAATCTCACTACACTATAATCTGCCTCAACGTTGTTGTTAGACGTGTATAATGAATATTAGAAGTACTGGACAAAATTCCATTTGATCTCATTTTCTTGAAATGAGTTAAGTTATTGTTGTTGCCACATTTTTCATCTAGAAGTCATTCTGTAATAAAACTCTTTGTAGTTGTTATCATCTGGAACTGTTACACTGGACCTATGGTGCTATAAAGAAAATCTCTATTAAAAAATGAAAGTCATTTCTTTTACCAAATATTTATTCAGTCGTAAAAAATGTATATCCTTATATTTTGACTGAGTATCTCTATTGATTTATAGCTGAAATGCTGGAATGAGATTGTGTATTAACTAGGATTAGACGCTTGGAGTCTCACATTTTTCTCATTAAATTTTTATTTATTCTGGATATGGAATGTTGGTACAAACGTTCCTATATAGTGATTATTCACATGATCCATATTAACATTTTTACATTATTGTTGGACTACATTTCATGACATATTATTACAGCGTCAATTACTATAATTATATGTGATTCAGGAATGTTAAAATATTTATCTCTGTATCTAGATTGTCCTATTCCTTTCATGCACTGTATGTAACATAGCATGTTTATCTGGTAACTCTTGTATTGCAACAAGCCAGAAGGGGTTGGAAACTAAAGTAAATAGAGTAAATACTCACTCAAAGTTATTGAAAGGCTCTTGGAAACTGCGACTCTAAGCAAAAAAAACATATAAGGAAAGCAATTTTACCATAGGTTAATGATGTAAACAAGAGTTAAGTTCCTAGGGCATATTTCTGGTCACGAAAACATCACCAAATTTCTAAATAAAGAGCAAAACACTTCTAATACTAAACATTGAAATGTATGTGAAATATATATATATACATATATATATGAATGATTATTAAAATCAAGTAAAATTATTTTTTACCCAATTATTTCAGTTCAGGGTCTCCAGTGGCTGCAGCCTATCCCAGAAGCTCAGGGTGCAAGGCAAGAAGTAATCGTGGGACCAGGCGCCGTGGCTCTCGCCTGTAATCCCAGCACTTTGGGAGGCAGAGGCTGGTGAATCACTTGAGGTCAGGGGTTCCAGACTAGCCTGGCCAACATGATGAAACCTCATCTCCACTAAAAATACAAATATTAATTGGATGTAGTGGTACATGCCTGTAATCCCAGCTACTCGGGAGGCTGAAGCTTGAACCCGGAGGCAGCGGTTGCAGTGAGCTGAGATCGTGATACTGCACTCCAGCCTGGGTGAGGGAGTGAGACTCTAAAAAAAAAAAAAAAAAAAAAAAAAAAAAAAAAAAGACTAACCATGGGCAAGACATCGTCCCATTGCAGGGTGCACTCACACACACCCACACTCACTCACACTGGGACAGTGTAGACACACCGATGAACCCAACATGCACATCTTTGGGATACTAGAGTAAACTGGAGTGCTTAGAGAAAACCCATGAGAACATAGGAAGAACTTGCATACCCCACACAGACAGTGGTCCCTGCAGGGTTTTTCTGTTTGTTGGTTGTTTTTCCTTCATCAAGTTTGTAATGAAACGATGTTGAATGATAAAATATTATTTGAGGAATTGTTGTACAAGGATTTTGGCATTTGTCTGTATATGGAAATCAAAGACATTTTAAAGTGATTATAAATCTTTGTACATGTTGACAATATTCAATTCAGTTAAAGGCTTTATCACGGTACATTGTGACCTCTCTTTAAATGGTTACATTACTTTGAGCTCTGAAAATTTGTTATACTTACATTGTTCTAATTGTTCATAACTAGGAATTCACTGACTTTGCTTTAATGTATGCTAGGAAAACTGAAGTAGATAAATCATACTTCCCCTTTCAGTCTCCTTCTCTCTTTTGGATTTAATTTTAACTCGAGGTTTATTAATTACAGAAGTTACACTCATGTTGCTGCAAATGTATTTTTTCTAGTTGTTAATTTGTTCATGACATTCTGCTTGATGATAGTAATATTATGATGAAGGTGCCTCAGATATCAAAAAAGATTTCAAGTCTATAGAACGTACCTCTAGCTACAGAGTCACAGGATATGTGACAGCAATGATATTAGGGGATGCTGAGCTGGAAACCCAATTCAGCACCAGAGACAGAAATACTGTATTTTGACTCATTCATCTTACATGGAAGATGAAGCCTGCCAATCAAGTAGAAAATGTAGGCCTCCAAGACAATAACTCACCTGCCTTTTTGTGGTTTATATTTTTCATCTTGGTTAAAAAGTGTCCATTGATAGGGGATTTAATCAAAACATTAAAGAAGACATAATATAGCCACCAAATCTAATTATTTCCAACTACTAGATATCAGAGCTTTAAAAAAATTGTTTTTAACTGCATTTGCTTCATTTTTCTTATGGGATATTAATAGAAAAATGGAGTGCATTTCTAACAGTTGCATTTTTTCATATGTGTGGCTATGTTTATGCTGATATTAGTTAAAAGTTCTAAAAACAAGCAAAGAAAATATACACAGTTTTTTGGCATTGATTGGTTGATATAATAATTATGTATATTTACTTAATATGCATAATTTAAAAATGTATATTTTTATGTATATATATTTATACGTATATAATTACGTATATTTACTTAATATACATAATTATTACTATGAGCTTGGGCAAAAAATGTATTTTGGCATTCCACTGTTCAGTTTTAAGTCATTTATTGGTACATAATTCTTTTATTTCTACTTCAATAAATATAATTAAGTTTTGTGAAAGCCGTGTTCTAATGAACAAGTAATTCTTTCTTTTAAAATATTCCTTTTAATTCTAATTTAAAGTTTCTTAAGTAAAAATATAGCTCTTCAATAATAATATTATAATGTGTTTCTCTTCTAAAATAAACAGATTTTATACTCATTATTTTAAAATGTGATCAAAACCACATAATTGTTTTTAGTCTTCTGATTGGGATTTTTAAAAAGAAAATTCAAAGTTTGGCATTAAATATATTTTCTGTAAGATAATATAACTACATATGATAAAATGATTAAGTACTCTGATAGTGTCACTATTTCAATACCATTATTATCTTTAACATATGTTAAAACACTCCAGTACATAACTAATAAAGAGGAATTCACATGGCCAGCAATTTTAAACTGGTGCAGCAAACTTATCTTTTGTGTTTGCAAACATAAGAGAACTGAAGAAGCAAGATGCAAACAATGTCTCCGTTGTTCAGCATGTGTTTTATGATATAATACATTCGTTCATGTTGTGTTATACAAATTTTGCAGGGAGGGTTGCTCGTTTTATCAATTTGTGTATTTTTTATTTCATATTTTGTACGCAATCATGAGCATTTTTCTTATAAATTGTACACAACAAGAACCTGTTGAAGATTAGAAGGAAGGAGCAGCACATACTTTTAGCAATCCTTTTATCTTACCAATCACTGGAAGAAAATGATGCCAAGAAGCCATGTGAGATATCATCTCTGTCTGTCATGTTTTCAGAACAGAGTGTGGCTTACTAATGTTGCCATTGCAGGCTATGCTTTGTCAAGTGAATACGGTTTTCATCTTAAGGGGATAGTAAGCAAGATGTTAGCAATACTCACTCATCTTCAGATTTCATTGTCAAATATACTAATATTTCAAAAATATGGTTTTCATCTAGAAAAAAATGGAGATTTTGAGTGTACAAATATAGCCAATGCAGGTTAAATTTAAACAGAGATTTTTTTTTAATCTCTCCCTTTTTTATACTTTTTTTTTTTTTTTTTGAGACAGAGTCTTGCCCTGTCACCCAGGCTTCAGTGCAATGGTGCAATCTCGACTCACTGCAACCTCCGCCTCCCAGGTTCTAGTGATTCTCCTGCCTCAGCCTCCCAAGTAGCTGGGATTACAGGCACGCGCTACCACACCTGGCTAATTTTTGTATCTTTAGTAGAGACAGGTTTCACCATGTTGGTCAGGCTGGTATCGAACTCCTGACCTCATGATCCACCCGCCTCGGACTCCCGAAGTGCTGGGATTACAGGCATAAGCCACCACACCTGGCCCCCTTTTTTATACTTTTTACAAGTAATCTGACACTAGGTGCCACATAATTAAGATAAAGACAAAAGTGCAAAACCATGTAAAATATTGACTTCTAATTGTGAATTAGTTTCCCTTTTCTACTTGTTTTGCCTTGTTGGATATGAAACATTTCAAGTATGTCATTGTAGGATTATTTTTGACATTTTATTCTTAGAATGGTGATTTAGTTGCATAATTCTCATTTGCTATACCACTTTTCTAAAAAATAAATGTTTGAATTATTGAAATATCCCAAGATACTCCTTGTTATATAATTGTAGATCATTACTTTATTTTCAGACAAATTATGCTATTGTGGATAAATATTCAATGTATAAAATACAGGACTTCTTTTTTCCTGTTTTACAAAACTCCAGTGCCCTTTCTTATCTACTATTTTAATATTCCTTTGCTATAGTATATTGCATAATGTGGAGTCAACTATTTTTTACAATATGTACGTGTTGATCTGAAAGTTCCTATTGAGTTAAATAATGAAAAATAATTTGGTGGACCATGAATTTTAAATTTGTTAAAAATTGTTTTATTTGTGTATGTGTATAAAATTAAATTTTGCAAATTGGTAAATTTATTCTTCATTTAACCTTGTTGCTTTGAGTACTCCTAAAGCTTGTAATAATTCTTTGGGGAGTAATATAAAATATATCATTCATAAGTGAATTTTGCCTTACCATTATTCAAGAATAATTGGTTTGCATTTTTTATTTTTTGGTCAACTCTTCTGTTATTTCATTTCCCTAACTTCTTAAAAATAGTTAAGTTTGGGTTATAAATGGCTACGTATTTATATAATTTATTTTGAAAACTACACTAATCTATGAACTTCTTAAGATTATACAAGCTGATATTTAAAATAATCTGAGTCACTCAAAGATCTTACTTTGGAATAGCCACTAAGAATAGTCAGAACAGTTTAGTGTTTCTTGAACTGAAGCATTTTTCTGCTGCTGCATTTGAAATTGCCTGCTCTCCTTACTTAGATTCTCTAGATAGCTGCCTGTGAAACCTCTCTCACCTCCCACACTTTCACAGGCTCCTGGGGCTGGCGCAAGGTACAGCCATTGGTGGCAACATGAAGTTAACAACAACAACAAAAGCAGAGTAAAGAGAAAAATTGGAAGAGAGACTATTTCTGAGGTTGTTTCCAAACAACCCTAGAATTCTGTACATGCCAGGCACTTTCCAGTGCCTATTCCATTTTTTCATTCATAGTTCCCAGGAAAAGTCCTGATTGGAAATGCAAAGCCCTGGGCCTAGTTTCTGTGATGATATTTCCTTGCAATTTCCTTCTGATGTGTAGATGGCTTTTGTCTGTCCGTTTGCTGTCAGTAGGAGCATTAGGAGCTTAGCTTGAATGTGTGTGTGTGTGTGTTTATGTGTGTGTGTGTGTCATTACTAGTCCCTGTCTATATGCCAAGAAAGACTGGTAGGCAAAGAAGAAAATTAAACATTTAACCCTATCTCAGTGTCTTTCTAACACTACCAACAAGAAGGAGGGGCGGGGAGCGGGGAGAGAGAAATGGATCATGGATTTGTTTTAGATGTAAAAACCACTGCGTGTTGGTAGCTACATTATATTATGTGGTGGGTTAGGGAAGAAAGAAATCTTCATTAGAAATAATGGATAGCGGCTGGGAAAACATCAGTAAAAGAAAAGAAATTGAGTGAATATCACTTGGCTTGAGATGTGTTGTATCCTCAGGAGTTTCCTTTTATTTTTAACTACCCAAAGCTGCTGATCTAACCCTAGTACATGAGCTGAATATCCATCTCCAGGATTTTCTCTCTCCACCGTAATATTCACCTACTATTACCTGCCTTGAATTTCTTTGGCAGGTCTTGATATGTGTAATTACTTTCCTAGAATTGGAGTTGTTCCGGTTTCTTTATATTTGAAGAAGACAGAAGGAAATAACCTATAAATTGATTGGAAATATGTTTCTAGTAACTTACATTTGATTTTTAATTTTTTAAAACATTGCAACATATAGTTCTTTGTAATAGTCACCAATGTAATAAATACTTAAGGTGCATCGTAAGTTAGATTATCTTTGTTGACAGCATAAAGTTTGGGTTTTTTTAGACTTTGATTTATATCAGAAAAGAATTTAACATCACAAACAGATTATAGTTGCTAAATCCAACCCAACTGTAAATTCATTTTGGGTGTTTCTTAACCATTTCTTAACTATGCATTTAATCCAATTTGTTAGTGAAAAAAGTGAAAAAGGATATATAACTTTAAAATTAAAATTGCTGTTCAAATACTTTGCATTAGGCAATTTAAATGCCAAGTGCTTTTTTTTTTCAGTTACAGACATACACCCTTGAAAATACTGTATTAATGCAAAAGGTGAGGCCATAACATTTCATGCAGCACTATGTAAATTCTAGTGGAGCAATTTGGATACTTGCAGTAGGCATCTTCATCTTTTTAAAATCACATTATGAAAAATTCATGTTCAGTCAAATACATACAATTCTAAATAATACTGTAACTTCCAGGATGCCTTTTTAAAATATTCATTTAATTTTCAAATGAAATATATATATTACTAAGCTTTCATTAAAGCCAGCCTCTGCCTAGTCAAACTTTAAGAAACCATTGCGGTTTTGTACATTTCTAACTAGAGAATATTCTTTTGGATATCCTTACTATGTAATGATTAGCCAAGTCATAAATAAAGTGGCCCACCTTAATAACTGAGCTGGATTGTGGAAGGATTTCTAACTAATTATCTAGTAATACCATGAAATTACATGGTTTCTATCATGTGAGCCGGATAATTTTTATATAAACCTTTTACAGCCTGATTATGCCTATGAAGTGACAGTAGCAGACACATTTTGCTGACAAGGCAGAATAGCTGCATTTGTGAAAAATCACTGTTTGAAGACCATAAGGCTAACAGAAAAAGTGGTAGATAGGGAAATGCCTTCTGAAAATGAGAAGACAGCCACCAAGACAGCAAAAATGTATATACACTATATGTATGTATATATCACAATTCTGTCAAGTCAGATGACTGCCACTCTGACCGCTTTCAGAAGGAGCAGCACAATAAGGCCAAACTGTAAGGTATGTTATGTGTAACGCTTACTCTTTACTTTTACTGCTAAAATCATGCAAGTTTTCATAATCTGCTGGGAGTGAGGTCAGTGTGGGATAAAATAAGCAGCAACATTACTTTGGTCACTCTTTGGCAACTGACAATGGTTCTTGTTAGAAATTGGTAGTCCCAGCTACTCGGGAGGCTGAGGCAGGAGAATGGCTTGAACCCGGGAGGCGGAGCTTGCAGTGAGCCGAGATCACGCCACTGCACTCCAGCCTGGGCCACAGAGCGAGACTCCGTCTCAAAAAAAAAAAAAAAAAAGAAAGAAATTGGCCAGTTTTGATTTACCTTTTAACATAGTGGCCAGAGTTTATATCCTTTTAGTGTAAGTAAATAAATGAATGAGTATGCCTTGTCTTACTAGGTTGATTCTTATTCATTGAGCATAAAGGAGATATTCCACATACAATGCATACTTTAAAATGACAAAATAGAACCAGTCATTACTCTCCACACAGTAGCTACGTGGACAGAGAAACATATAAAAATATACAATTTTAATAGAAGGGAAATAAATTTGTAATTTCCTTTCCTCACTTTAATTTGGAAACCTAGCTTAAAAAATTGCCTATTAAATGTTAATCAAATATTAATTTTAATACTGATTACTTTGAATTATTTTTATTTTGATGTTTCTATTAATCACACATATATCAGTATATTAGTAAAACATAGGGGAGTTTTCCACTGTATTTCTTTTTTTTTTTTTTTTGGTTTAATTTTATTTTATTTTTGTATTTTTTTGTTTTTTTATTTTATTATTATTATACTTTAAGTTTTAGGGTACATGTGCACAATGTGCAGGTTAGCTACATATGTATACATGTGACATGCTGGTGCGCTGCACCCACTAACTCGTCATCTAGCATTAGGTATATCTCCCAGTGCTATCCCTCCCCTCTCCCCCCACCCCACAACAGTCCCCAGAGTGTGATGTTCCTCTTCCTGTGTCCATGTGTTCTCATTGTTCAATTCCCACCTATGAGTGAGAATATACAGTGTTTGGTTTTTTGTTCTTGCGATAGTTTACTGAGAATGATGATTTCCAACTTCATCCATGTCCCTACAAAGGACATGAACTCATCATTTTTTATGGCTGCATAGTATTCTATGGTGTATATGTGCCACATTTTCTTAATCCAGTCTATTATTGTTGGACATTTAGGTTGGTTCCAAGTCTTTGCAATAGTGAATAGTGCCGCAATAAACATACGTGTGCATGTGTCCTTATAGCAGCATGATTTATAGTCCTTTGGGTATATAGCAAAGGATGGCTGGGTCAAATGGTATTTCTAGTTCTAGATCCCTGAGGAATCGCCACACCGACTTCCACAATGGTTGAACTAGTTTACAGTCCCACCAACAGTGTAAAAGTGTTCCTATTTCTCCACATCCTCTCCAGCACCTGTTGTTTCCTGACTTTTTAATGATTGCCATTCTAACTGGTGTGAGTTGGTATCTCATTGTGCTTTTGATTTGCATTTCTCTGATAGCCAGTGATGGTGAGCATTTTTTCATGTGTTTTTTGGCTGCATAAATGTCTTCTTTTGAGAAATGTCTGTTCATGTCCTTTGCCCACTTTTTGATGGGGTTGTTTGGTTTTTTCTTGTAAATTTGTTTGAGTTCATTGTAGATTCTGCATGTTAGCCCTTTGTCAGATGAGTAGGTTGCGAAAATTTTCTCCCATTTTGTAGGTTGCCTATTCACTCTGATGGTAGTTTCTTTTGCTGTGCAGAAGCTCTTTAGTTTAATTAGATCCCATTTGTCAATTTTGGCTTTTGTTGCCATTGCTTTTGATGTTTTAGACGTGAAGTCCTTGCCCATGCCCATGTCCTGAATGGTAATGCCTAGGTTTTCTTCTAGGGTTTTTATGGTTTTAGGTCTAACGTTTAAGTCTTTAATCCATCTTGAATTAATTTTTGTATAAGGTGTAAAGAAGGGATCCAGTTTCAGCTTTCTATATATGGCTAGCCAGTTTTCCCAGCACCATTTATTAAATAGGGAATCCTTTCCCCATTGCTTGTTTATCTCAGGTTTGTCAAAGATCAGATAGTTGTAGATATGAGGCGTTATTTCTGAGGGCTCTGTTCTGTTCCATTGATCTTTATCTCTGTTTTGGTACCAGTACCATGCCCTTTTGGTTACTGTAGCCTTGTAGTATAGTTTGAAGTCAGGTAGCGTGATGCCTCCAGCTTTGTTCTTTTGGCTTAGTGTTGACTTGGCAATGCGGGCTCTTTTTTGGTGCCATATGAACTTTAAAGTATTTTTTTCCAATTCTGTGAAGAAAGTCATTGGTAGCTTTATGGGGATGGCATTGAATCTGTTAATTACTTTTTGGGCAGTATGGCCATTTTCATGATATTGATTCTTCCTACCCATGAGCATGGAATGTTCTTCCATTTGTTTGTATCCTCTTTTATTTCATTGAGCAGTGGTTTGTAGTACTCCTTGAAGAGGTCCTTCATGTCCCTTGTAAGTTGGATTCCTAGGTATTTTATTCTCTTTGAAGCAATTGTGAATGGGAGTTCACTCATGATTTGGCTCTCTGTTTGTCTGTTATTGGTGTATAAGAATGCTTGTGATTTTTGTACATTGATTTTGTATCCTGAGACTTTGCTGAAGTTGCTTATCAGCTTAAGGAGATTTTGGGCTGAGACAATGGGGTTTCCTAGATATACAATCATATCATCTGCAAACAGGGACAATTTGAATTCCTCTTTTCCTAATTGAATACCCTTTATTTCCTTCTCCTGCCTAATTGCCCTGGCCAGAACTTCCAACACTATGTTGAATAGGAGTGGTGAGAGAGGGCATCCCTGTCTTGTGCCAGTTTTCAAAGGGAATGCTTCCAGTTTTTGCCCATTCAGTATGATATTGGCTGTCCACTGTATTTCTGAGTTTTCCACTCATCTCCTATTTGAATTTGTCTGTTTGCCACTATAACCGTTAAATAAAATACTTTTAATTTATTTATTTGAATTCATTATTTGTCTTAGGAGTCACAGTTCTTGAGTACATTGTAATTTTCTTTATTTTTATCCAGAAATAATTTAATTTATTTGGAATGTAGTGTGTATGGATACTCAAAAAGTGATTACTAAAAACAGAAATGATAATGGAAATTATGAATGGATCTCATGCTGAGTTAACTGCTATGTGGGAATCAGCTACCTAGGTGGAAAATACTGGTTTCTGCAAGGCACTACAGTGAGAGTTTATTCTCTTTTCTCTTTTTCCTCTTTCTTTTCTGTTACCTTCTTATTCTTCTTCACTTACTCATGACTTGGAGTAATTAGTTGATTTCAGTTACAAGACATGCTGGCAACCATATAGGACTTTACTAACTGATGGATCAGGCATAATAAAAACAATTTACTAACATTTTACTGTAGCTAAAGTATTCACACTAAAGACATTCTAGTTTCTTTGATTGTTGTGTTTGTAATTTCAAATATGTTTCTGATTCTAGCTACATGATTATAACAAATATATATCTATAAGTATAGTTTATGTTGGTCAAATATATATGACTATTCTACTTAACTATGATTAACATATTAGAAAATCATCAATTATTTTCAAATCAGATAAAAAAATTCTAATTTTTGTTCCATAAATCTGTATAGATTAAACTTGAATCTATACCTAAATTCATAAAATTTAAGCAATTCTGGTAATTTCCTTTAATAATAGAATGTAAATAGTCCAAAATGTATTAACAAAATGGACAGAATTTCTAACTGTTGGGTATTTTAGAAAAAGGTATGCTATGCCTGAAAAAGTTCATCTCTTTATATCCGAAATATTCTATGCTACAGATGGACTTCATACCCCAAATATTCCATACTACAAGTTTGACTAAACTCAGAAAATTAAAACATATATTAGTTTTCAAATTACAGGAACTTTTCTAAACTGTTGCTCTTTTTGATTTTTTATAGTTTATATCCAAAAATTGTGTATGTTTATAACGATTACTCACTACAATATTGTTGTAGGTGTAATTACAACTCTTGACTTCCTTTTACCAAAAAAATGTTCACTCCCTTGACTCCCCCTGAAAATACTACTTTCACTTGTTGGCAGTGAAAATCAGTAGACTATCATAAAGTATTATTATTGTTAAATTTTTATATTTATTAACACTTATCTGTACCCAAAGTCTTATTTTCTTTGGATTTGAAAACTTTCTTTTTATAAGATAGAACAAAAAGTTAATTTTCATATCTAACTTTTGGATTTGCTGAAAAATCAGATTCTTTTAATAAGAAATTTACATATAATAATAAAGCTTTAAAACTTCCATTGCAACTAATTTTGAAAGGTCATCAATGAGGAATAAGCAATAAAAAATATAATGCATAGGTTTAGTAAATATATAATGCAATATGAAGTAGCTTACTTGTTGATTATGTATTAGTGTAATATATTTCTTCCTGTGTAGTGAAACAAGAGGAAGATAATGGAGAAAAATTAAATGAAAACAAAATTTTCTATTTATAAGTACCTAGAATAGATTCCAAATTTTATGCATATTTGCGCTTCAAAGTCTCAGGTTTTATTTAAATACCCAGCATTTTGTAGTCATGACGTTCATTGAAAATAAGCATTGTCCTCCAGTACAATATGTTACAAATATGTATTACATTTCTAATATTGCCCAGGCACTGTGACTGTAACCATAAAGAAGCCTAGCATTTGTCTCTATTCTAGAATATACAGCCATACTTCTCAAATGGTAGTTTACATGCAGATGCCTTGTGGATTTCTACATACATGATTTCTAATAATTCTGTAAATAATCTGTTTCTACTTTGCTGTGGGAAAAATGGATCAGAAGTGAAGTACGTCAAGGTCACTTAGTAAGTAATGAAGCCAGGACTCAGAAGCAATGCCTTCTGTCTCCAAAAAACTAAGAATGTGTCGAAAAGTTTATATAAGAAAAGGCAACTGTGAGGCCTCTCATGCAAATGAAAAGGGAGGTTGTGAGAATTAAAATGAGGGAAGATGCACTAGCCTGGGGATTATAAAAATATTATAGAAGAGGAGGTATACTCAAGTGTTTGAAAAATAAGTTAAAAATTTTAACAGGGAAATGTGGGGATTGTCTGATGTGTAGCAGCAACCAAGGCATGGAAGCCAGAAATCCAAGTGACATTCCTGAGAGTAGGAAGCAGTCCTTTTTAACATTAGGATTAGTTAAGTGGCATAATTTGCAGAGCATTCTGGAAAATCAAATCATTGTTCATAAATAAACTGCCTTAAAGAAATGTTGACGAATTTCTAGGCAATAAGAAAGCAATTAAACGTTTGAGCAGAGTTCTGTCATAATGAAAATTTTTTAAAGAAAAATAAATCATAGAGGAGGGTTCACTGGTTAAAAAGGAGAATCACTGGAAAAGGAAGATTTCTTGGGGAGGCATTTCAGTAACCCAGATTAAACAGTGAGAGGAAAAGAGTGACAGAAGAATAGGAAATGAGGAGGCAGTTACCAACAATAATATATAGAAAGAATTGTCAGGTTTGGACAATAGAGTGAATTCACTTGAACTTAATTCTACAAACACAGGTTTTCTTTGGTTTGGTTTTGTTATCGTTGTTGCTATTTTTTGGTTTCTCTAGTATCCCCAGTGCTCAGACCAGTATCTGGCACAAAGAAAGCAATCAGAAAATATTTTTAAAGTAATAAATAAATGCAGTGGATGAAGAAGAAAAACTAGCCAAATATAAATAAACTTGCATGACAATGTTTGATATAGGTTATGAGGTGTTTTGAAAACATATTTTTATCATTTCATGTTTTGGTATCAGTAATATTTCTCTCATCATTCCGGTTCGCTGGTTAGCTTTTCAAATGCTTTGCATCTTTCTGGGTATATATGACTCTGCCAACAATAGAAAATGGAGAATGGCAAATATTCATCTGTTGTTTTTTGTAGTTTTTACATAATTACATAAAATATTTCATTACCGTTAAGAGCAGATTAGCACAGTGGATTTTTTAAATAACGTTTGTGTATGCCTGTGGCTTTCACAAGTTGTGAAAAACACATGATTTTTGCATGTCCTTTCCTAAGGATAGAAAATAGCAGACTAAAAAAATAAGTATTTTCCAATAAGTAGGAACTGAGCATCTTCCACTTGAGTACCACTTTGATTAAACTACACTGTTGCTTTTTTCTGGGTGTGTGTGTGTTCTTATAGAAAATGCATATTTTCCTACATGAAGTAATTAATTATTCGAATCTCCCACTCCTCTAGTTGTTTAAGTCTGAGGAGGATTCCCAATTTTGAAATAGGGGAAATTATTTCTAAATTTCTCTAAGGCTGTCAAACATTTTATCATACTACTTTGAGTTAGCTCTATTCCTTTGGCGTTCTTTTGAGACACTTAAGGATTTAATATTTTATTCCATAGAAGAGTCCTGGTAACATAATCCATGCTTGTCTAGTGACATAATACACTTCTGGCATCAAACTTTCAAAAACTAATTTCATTGAGCATATTTTCTTGCCTAGGCCAGATGGATTCTTAGTTCAACTGCTCCTTTACCTAAAGTGGAGACGGACACACAAATGGTGTAATTTGTTCATAGTGCTGGCGGTGAGATTTTTTGTGCGGGGTGCTCTTTTGCATATCTATAACCCTGAAGTGTTTCTTAATCTCTTCTGCAATTTGTGTGTTACAAATGAAATGAGTAAGATCACGATTCAGCACCTGGAAATGAAGCTATCTCTGCGAGGACTTTTATGATTTCTTGTAGAAGATAGTCTTTAAGAGCTGTGCTCTGTCCTGCTGGCCCCATTTAACTCCTCACTTGCAGCATAGGTACAAATGTGACATTTCCTTTTAAAGTGCATGTATAGAGGTGCCCCCTAGGCACTCATCCTGAGAGAGGAAGCAAACTGTAAAATGGGACGTAAGTTTTCCTGCCTTTTATTTGAATCTCAAGCTGAGGAAGAAAAGTCAACAAACTATGAGATGTGTAGAAATGTTTAGATTCTGAATTCCTTGAATATGTACCTAAAATATGCACCACAATGTAAGTACCATCATAGTTTTTTGAGAAATAAAATAATTATGAGACAAAATTTTTTTTAGTTTCAACCGAAGCAATTTAAGGCTTACTGCATGCACTGAAGAAAATTCAGAAATCCAGGAGAGGCATATGTTTAACTAGCCACCTCCAGTTAAGGTTACCTTGTTCTTTGGTTATAAGCCATATGCTTCATGTCTCTTCTCCTTTCTCTTCTGTGGCTCACTCCTTTTGCTGGATGTCTACATTGTCTATGAACATGCTCACATACCTTTCATGTGAATGAAAAAGCTTTATTTTATCTTATTATTCCTCTAGCTATTATGCCTCTTTCTTTCTTTCTCTTCTACTTAATCCATTTTTAAATCATGATCTACCATTAACTTCTTAAATCATGTCAATTGATATTTTATTTTCCACAACCCATGTTAACTGTATTTATGATTCCACAACTGTTTTGACACTATCCAGCTAATGTCACCAGTAATTAGCTATTTTAACCCAATAAATATATTTTTCTTTAGTGGACATCTCTGCTGCATTTGACACAGTTAACTGCCCCTGTATTTCATGCACCTCTATCTCTGGTTAGCTTCCACCTACCTATATGATTCATCTTGTACTCCAGATGTCCCAATTCATTCTCCTAATCTTTCTTTCTCTCCAGTGTTTTTATTTGAAAACTTTGATATGCTTTTAAGTCATCTAGGGAGCTTATTAAAAATAGAGATGGTTTGGAGACTCTCCTGAGCCCTCTACCTTCATTCAGGTTCTGCTGGTCTGCAGATTTTGCCATGTGAAAGATTTTGTCTTACTTACCATTTCTGGTATATTTAGACCACTACTTCTGAAAACTTAAAAGAAGACAGGTTAAATATAACCTACTTTGATTACATAGTGTAGTTTACCCTTCCGGTTACATTTCTCTTTCCCCATATATTGCTATTTTATGTTGTAGATATTTCTCAACTCATTCTCTCCTATCCCTGCCTACTAATAGTAATTAAATTTAGGCCATCCATTTGTCTGTTTGTTTAATAGTGGTAAATATATATATAACATAAAATTTGCAATTTTCACCATTTTTAAGTATACAGCTCGGTGGGCATTAAGTATAATCACATTGTTATGCACCCATCACCTCCATCCATCTCCAGGACATTTTTCATCTTCTCAAACAGAAATCCCATACATATTTGACAATAACTCCCTATTCCCACTCCCTCCAGCCTGTGGAAACAACCATTCTACTTTCTGTTTATGAATTTGACTACCCCAGATACCATACATAGATAGAATCATATAGTCTCTATCCTTTTGTTACTGGCTTATTTCACTTAGGATAATCTCTTCAAGGTTCATCCATGCTGTAATATGCATTAAATTTCTTTTCATTTTTTAAGCTAATTGATATTCAGTCGTCTGTATATAACACATTTTGTTTACCCATCCAGCTGGCAACGAACGCTTGGCTTGCTTCCACCTTTTGACTACAATGAATAATGTTGCTGTGAACATGAGTGTACAAACATATCTTTGAGTCAATACTTCCAATTCTTTTGAGTATGCACCAAGAAGTGGAATTGCTGTATCATATGTTCATCCTATTTTTAATTACTTTGAGTTAATTTTCACATGGTTTTCCTTAATAGCCACACCATTTTACATTTCTGGCAGCAATGCACAAGAGCATCAATTTTTCCACATCTTCACCAACACTAGTTATTTTTAGCTTTTTTAATATACTAGTCACCTTAATGTGTGTGGGATGATATCTCATTGTGGTTTTGATTTGCTTTCCTTCATGATTACCGATGAACATCTTTTCAGTGTGCTCCTTGTTCATGTGTGCGTTTTTTGGTGAAATATCTATTCACGACCTTTTCTGATTTTTAAAAATTAGGTTGTTTATATTTTTTATTGTTGAGTTGTAGAAGTTCTTTATATATTCTGAACATTAATCCCTTGTTAGAGATCAACATGATCTGTAAATGTTTTTCTTATTCTATATGTTGCCTTTTCACTCCACTGATAGTGTCCTGTGATGCACAAAAGTTTTAAATTTTTATGTAGTCAGTTTATCTATTTTTCTTCTTGCTGTTGCCTGTTCATCTGGTATTATATCCAAGAAAGCACTGCTAAACCCAATGCCATAAAGTTTTCCCCTGGGTTTTCTTCTGAGTTTTATAGGTGTAGCTCTTACATTTATTTCTTTGATTCATTTCGAGTTTCTATAAGGTAAGGGTTCAACTTCATCAACATTTTCTAACTTCATTCATTCTTCCACACTTTTACCAGAGTTGTAAAATCTGATCATGGCATTTTCTTGTTTAAAAACCCTGATATATCCCTTTTTCCTATAGAATTAGGCTAAGGTCTATAAGACAGAAAATATTATTTTCAATGTTAAGGCACTTGCCTCACTCTTCACACTTTCACATAACACTAACATATAGTATGCTATTTATGGCCTTACTGACTTTGCTGATATTGCCCCTTCCCCTAGAATGCCATCTTTCTCCTTCAAATTATACTTAAGGCAGAAAGTCCTTCTCTTTAGCTCTTTAAACACTATACTCAAATAAGGGTCATTTCATGTGCACCACTAAATCTGATGCTTTTCTCTAAATATGACCTTCCCAGTAGTTTGTTGTTGTTGTTGTTTTTTTTTTTAAATAATGTATGTCTGTCACTTTTCCATGTTAGACCATGAGCTTCCTAGGGAGGGGATTGTGTTTTATTCACCTTTATATCACCCATAATGTTAGGTTTAATATTCAATTTGTGATTAAGTGGAAACTTGAGAAGCATGTAGGTTTTGAGATACGTTGGGGTGAAGGAGGTAAAAACTGGGGGTAATGGAAGATCTATCAGCAAGGGAAATGTAGAAATCTCTCAGAATGAGAAAAGTTCAAGGGTAAAGCCCACATTTGAGAGTACTTCAATTCCTGTGAGTGAGGAATCTGGATAAAGGCAAGATAATGGGTACATAAGTGGGATGAGAGAAGATTTGAAGAAGTTCACCTGACTTTGGAGGTCAAGAACATCTAGGAAAATAGTGTTTCTTTCTAGGCTAAATGCCATGTTGAAAAATTGTTCAAAAAGAGGCATAGTTAACTCCCACTTAGGAAACAAAAATCGCTGTCAGCAGCAGTTGATCAGCAGCTGCAGCCATAGACACATTCCCTATAAGAAAATGGAATTATAACCACAGACAGAAAGTAAGTTGTGACTCAGCCTTTAAAAGTACCTGGAAGAGAGGACACACTGCCATTTAACTACTCACAATACATTTGGGTTGGAGCCCATTCCTTATTATAAGATAGACATCAGAATGAAAGTACCAGGAGAAACGGCACACAATGAGCGAGATTCTTGTTTTTCTGGGCGACTTAATCTGGTACTAAAATCAGATTACAGTTCTTTTTAAAAAACCTTCATTTTCTGGAAACTCTGAACTATGTATTCTGCTGATAAACTAATTACAGCATAATGCCACAATGCAAATTATATTTGTCAGTATCCCGTCTTTTATTACTTATCAAATCTTATAAAAACTTCAAGAAACGCCACGCTTAATTAAACTACCTCTTTTCTATTTGGCTTCTGACTTGTAACATCCTGAGATATTTATGCTAATCTATCATTACTCTTCTAAATACATAAAACCATTACATTGATATTTCTAACATTAGCAGTAATACTCATAATAATAACAGAATAGCTGCATGTTCCTTAATTTACTTTAATGCTTTTAATCTGCAGTATTTACTTAATGAAAAGTATGTATTTAGTTTTTCTAAAAATTTCTAATGGTTTTAAGAATTTTAAGGATTTTTAAAGATTGCTCCCACATTCATATCTTTTTTCCCTGTGGAAGCTATTTGGCTCATGCAATGTGTCAAGCAATGTATTTGAGATTGGAAAAAGAAATTAGTAGCCATCTGAAATCCTGGAAACCTTGTCTAACACCACTATGGTAGATATAAGCAGAAAAAAGCTTCCCCCTGCCTTTTTTTTTTTAATTGAAAACATGGGACCTTAATCTAGTGGGGGTAAAGGAAGAAAATGAGGGAAGCCAGCAAAGCAAACTTCATGGAATAGCTGCCTTCTGAGCTTTATTTTGAGTAAATAGTACATTCTACTGGTATAGAGTTTTTGGAGGAATTTTATGCTTTCTGTGCCCTTAATTTCTTCCTTCCTTGCTTGCTTCCTTTCTTTTTCTTTAGTTTTTTTCTCTCTCTTTTTTATCTTCCTCCCTTCCTCTCTTCCTCCTCCCTTCCCCCACTCCTTCCTTTTTATTCTTTGTCTCATTTTCTTTCTTTTCTCCCTTTCTCTTTTCCTACCTCCCTCACTCTTTCTTTCTCTCTCTTTTCTTTCTCTTTCTTTCTTGCCTGCTTACTTTCTCCCTCCTTTCCCTTCCTTTCTCCTCCCTTCCTTCCTTCCTTCCGTCCTTCCTTTCTTCTGTCATTCTCACATTTGTAAACATCACTGATATTATCTTAGTCTTTTTATTTCCAGGCTGAAAATCTTATAATCATGTTAGTGTCTTCTCACCAAGTACTAAACTATCAGTAACATGGTCTGCAGTTGGATTAACATGATCTGAATTTTCATATTGAGTGACTTCCAACCTACTGGAGAAATGTTTTTATTAATATATTAATTATGTTATAGCATTGACTCTTTTACTTCAGCTTCCATGAGATACATCACACGATTTCATATGAGCTAAATGATTTTGGCATAAGGGTCAATTGCTTCTGTTCATTATGCTTAGCATAGAAGCTGAAAGAGGAGACTAAATTCTATGGCTGAATTAATATATCAATATTTCCCCAGTAGACTGTGAGCAATTCAAAGAACGGACCTTGTCTTTTTCACCTTTTATAACCTTTAATGTGTAGCATGACATGGTGAGAACTCAATAACGCTAATAATAGCTAACAATAATCTGCAATGCCTGGAATACACATATTTTAGATTCTTAAAAGACATCTTTAACTTTTTACCAAGAATTTCTATTTGACTTTAAGTAAGTAAGCTGTTTTATCTATCCTAATGTCGCATAGCTAAAGAGTGGTAGAACTGATATTGAACATGCATTTCTCTCATTCAAGTGTCTTTAAATTTTCCAGCAAGCCAAGTTCCTGTCATGCTGGTCTCTTTCTTCTTCTGCATATAGTCTATGCCCACCCTGATTTCTATACTTTCAACTCAGATTGGTCTTTGATTTTGAATTGGCTCTCTCCTCATCCCAAGTCTTCAGAGCCTTGTAATTTTTAAGGGTTCCTACCTCCTTGATATTTGTCCCAGCTACTTCAGCCTTTCTTAAAAGATGAAGAGACTTGAGAATGAAGGTGATAGGGCTAGGAATGCAAATGCTCATGACTGGTCTGGGAGCCTGAGTCCTACATGGCAGCTCCTTTCAGAAACCACAGTGCACAGGCTGTGTGCCAGGCTTGCTGTGTGGAGGGTGTCTCTTCCCTGTGAGGCTTGGTAGGTGAGGGCTTTGTAATTGCCCTTTGTAATTGTCAGAACTAAAAAACAGACTCCTTGTTTCATATACACACCCCACTAATAGTCAAGACACT
The DNA here is from genome assembly GCF_000001405.40 of Homo sapiens. Lineage (NCBI taxonomy): Eukaryota > Metazoa > Chordata > Mammalia > Primates > Hominidae > Homo > Homo sapiens. Next base: position 87,711,357 of record NC_000013.11, read on the forward strand.
GTGGAGATTCAGTGTTAGCACTATAGGAGAACGTAGTTGCCACTTTGCTTTAGAAACTTCTCCAAATAGAACTGTAGAAGTGTAGGTTAAGTCTTAATACTTACAGGTAAAAAAAAAAAAAAAAAACAAAGTTGGAAAGTTGGGAGGAGCAACTAAATAGAGAGCTAAAAACACCAAGTGGCTCTAAGTTGCATATATTTGTGTTCTTGGATGAAGAGGTCTCTTTTTTAGAGCTCGGAGAAATGTAAGACTTTCAGTATTTACCACACATTGCCCCCAATTATTGAGGAAAAGATAATAAGGAGGAGAAGGAAAAAGGAACACTACAAGAGGATTTGAAAATGAATTAGGAAAGCTACTCAGTGGTAATATAAAGGTAATGTAATAAATTTTTTTTATCATAAGAGAAAACAGAAAGAGTCATGCCATACTATATTAGATAGGTTTATTTCAAAGGCAGGTGATAGAAAGTTTGAAAAGGCTTCTGTACCGACAAAAATACATTTCAGGTGAGTGCCCCTGAATGTCAGAAAGGTAGTGTAGAATTGTTTTCTTTCCTTTGATAATAACTTTATGGGTCCAGGGGAAATTCATTAAACAACAGGTTCAATTGTTTATGTCACGCTCAGGCTCTTGGCCACTTTGTAGTTGAGTGATAGTTGGAGAATCATTCTTCCAGGCATAATAATCTCACAGAATGAGAATAGTTGTAAATGCTTATTATATATATGTGTGTTTGATTATGTATCCCGATTCCAGTACCTCCACAGATGGGATCACTAAAACAGGGAGCAAGAGAGCTTTTGGCTCCTCCTGGGGATGTGGACCCTAAAGGGGGAGGAGTCAACAAAGCTGCCGGGACATCCTTTGAGGCAAGCCAGTGCACTTTTAAATGATAGCTCTGTTCTGAGGGAATAGGGCCATGGAAAAGTCTGCAACAACCAATGATATTCTATCCCACTTTAAAGGACACTGCCACCAGCATATGTGACATAGGTGAGTGAGGATGGATTTGGGAACATGTGTATCTTCCCTGGGGAATCTTTACTGGTAGATGTTACTAAGTTACAGAGAAAAGGCAATCAGAAATGCAATGAGCTTGAGGGATTTTTCAAAATAATATTTCCACAGAAAATCAGGAATTTTAAAATATGAATTAGTTTTCTTATTATATTTATAATAATCAGAACAATACATTAACATTATACTGACTTGCATATTACTACATAAACTTATTTAAAGCCATATTTTATGAGACTTAAATGGTTTTAAAAGATTAGAACACATATTTAGTTTGACAGTTGTTTCGTGCTGCAAGTGAATCTTTATGCAGTGGTCTGAAAAGCTATGATTCCAAAAAATTCAGTGTTAGATCAGCATTACGAATAACTTCAAGAGATTAACACTGATATTTCATAGATTTATATACTTACACACCTTTAGCTATTGAGACTTTTGCCAAGAGTCTCAATCACGTTCTCCAGAAATGGATATCTGCCTGCTTCCAGCCACTCTTTATCTAAAAACATTGCAAGTAATATAATTCATCTTTTTTCTCTTTTGCTTTCTTTTTGTGCTCTATATTATGCAAAGTTAGTGTGCATAAGATATGATGTAAAATTATGAAACAGGATATATTATATATACATATATATATACAACTCAGTGGCTTCAAGCTTTTTGAATAATTTATTTCTGTAATATACAGAGAAATTTCAAAAGTGTAACATACAGAAAGGAGAGATGGAAAATTGTATGAGATTATGTTACGGAAATTACAGAACTAATCAACACAAAAATTCCAGGAATTACTCTAAACCTGCGTAAAACAGGAGCAACAAATATACATTAATAAACTTCAAATTTGTGAATTACTTAAGTTTTAAATATAAAACACTGAAATAATAAAATAACAATAATTAGTCCTCTATTTTCCTAAGCATTGTTCCAATGACAAATAGCACACAAGAATGATAAATTATATATAAATAAAAACACTGCTATATATCGGAGAATTGGTAAACTAAATTTAAAGACAGATTGAGAAATATTTGCTTGCATCAAAAAATTAAAAAGTATGTTTCCTTGGTAGTAAAAAATTTTGCAAATCAGTGAAACAATGAGCATTTCTATAGCAAAATACAGACATTATATTAATAAGATATCCCTAAAGAAGAATACATGAAAGCAACTTTAAATGTAATTGTTCAAATAAAGTAAAATAAATGATAAGGAGAGACTTTTTTTCTATTATAGCACCAGATATTAAAACAGACAAAACCTTTAATACACAATGTTGGATATTGTTCAGGTAAAGGCTCATGTTCACATGCAGGCATTGAGATATGAATATCAATACAGTACAAATAAAAAATGAAGTTGGCATATTTTTATATGCACAATTTTAATGACATATCGTAAAAGAAAAAATATGGAAAAAGTCTTAATGCTAAGGACCTTCTCATATTAATGTTACTCATTGTAGCATAGAATTGCCATATGTTAATCAAATATAGGGTAATTCATATTGGCAATGTTAATCAAATATGGAGTAATTTGTTAAATGGCGGTATTTCAGAAGAAAAATTTTTAAATAATGTAGCAGATTGATGCTTTTTACATAAATAATTTTAACTTATTTTACATGTGTTTTGAGTTAAAATATATTGCAAAAAATTATGATAATGTTTTATCTATAAATACATAATATTGAATGCTACCTGTGTGTTTTATTAGTATTGGACTTACATTGCTTTTGAATTTTTAATTCTATATCCTATGGTTTGTAACAACATAGTTTTCTTTTAAAGTAAAGAAGTATTGGGTTCCAAACATTAAAAAGGCATTTAGCGTAAATTATCCTTATAAATACTTTAAAATGTATTGTATAATTATTAGTTGAATTTCTATTTAAATTCAAATAGTGCCAGAGAAATAACTTTTCAAATAGTATAATGAAAGAAACATTACACTTTATATTTAATTTTTAAAATTATAGGCATTTGGTAATCATTAAATGACATGGGATATGGCTAATACATAAAAATTTACTGCACTAATTACAATCAGTGTACACATACAACAATCACAAAGAAACATGTGCTAGCATTCTTTAATCATAAATTGAAGGAGATGAGTCTACTGCAAGTGTTGGCCATCTGGCTAGGAAAATTTTCCTGGCATAGATGATTATGGATATTAAATATCCTTGACAGCTAGTTATCAAATGTGACACTGGCTTTGAGTGTGGAAATAGGAGAAAAAAATAAAGAAGTATCTGTTTAAATAAATAATAATCATATACAATAAGATACATTAATGAGCTTGTTGAAATAAGCCAAATAGATTGTGTGATACCAATATAATATATTTTGTTTTGAATGTTAATAATATTTTTCCATTAACATATTTTATTTAAATTCAACCTTTCAGCATGAATAAAATATTAAGATTGAAATGTACTCAACTAACAGCATAAACTTTTAACCCACTTTATGTTTCTCAAATTTTATATAGGAAATTATAGATAATAATTTTTTTAAATGAATCAAATAACAGAATAACTTAAGTACTCATTTAAGAAAAAACACTACATTGCTTGCTAAAACCTTGAAAATAATTATTTTAATGTACATTTGGTCTACTTGTCATGATTAAGAATACTTCAAATATTGTGTATAAAATTTTATATTTCAAATAAAATATTTTATAATTTCTTTCATAAAGAAACCTTTATGTTTTAGAAAATATCAAAAGTTTTTCCCTTGGCTATTCATCCAGATATAATGTAAACATGTCATTCTTCATCTGATTATTTGGTGCATATAAATCCCAATTTGGCCAGGAGAATTCCTATCATACATGTATTTGAATAGTTTAAATCATATGATTCAGCATTTATTACTTTTTTAATTTTAAATTCAGTCTTAGTATTAATATTTGCATTAAAATAAGCCAATATAGGTTTGGCAGAACTGTCCTTTGTGAAACTAGTTCTTTCTATGGTTTTGTCTAGTAGTCATACTTGAACATTTAGTTATATCTTTAAGATTACCTGTGACCACGATTTTCTGTATAACCAATTCCAGAGCAATGTTACCAACACCTCCCTTTGAAGTGTGGCCTATTTGGTTGCTTGCTGGCAAGGAAAAATATGGACAAAAGGAAAGAAAAAATATTTTGATAACTTTTTTTATTTTCAAACAAACATAAGTGAAGCAATATAAATAATTCACTCAAAGCATAAATATTTATTATTATATTTACTTTCAAAACCTGTGAAATTTGAAAGCTTTGCTGGTTGCTGACAAATTATATAGTCAACACTGCCTATCGCCATCATCATAAAAGCATTAACTTCTTATCGTATTCAACTTTCGTGTTAATAACAAAAATTGCTCCTAAAACTCTCAATACTCTTCAACAATTAAATGTCAAAATTTCATCAACTTTTCCTATTATCAAGCTGTTAAAATCATTGTTATATGTAATTAAAACTAAATATAACTATTCACATTCTTCTAAATTACCCTTTTACACATTTGATACATAACAGTTTTTCATAATTTTTTATATTATTCAGCAAATACACTAAAGGCTTTGTGTTGCCTACTCTTTTGTATGACGGATGAATATATACTCAGCTCTCTAGCCACTTTTTTAAAAGCCTAAACAGGGCCACAGTTAGGACATTTTATTCCCTCATTTGAATTATTACGTAATTTTTAAATTAAATTTGCTTTCATTAATTTCTCTTTTTACCATTTGTTGCAAATGAACAACGAGGTGATTAAAAGATAGGTGGCAAGAACTACTGGGGGCAAAACAGACTCAAAAATAAGTGGGTCTTTTAATATTTTTTCAAGGGACTTTGCTCTAAACATTATGTTTATTTTAGAATTAAATAATGGAAAAATTTAGCAAAACAACTCAAAAAAAAATCCTGTGATTTTTAGCTGACTTTAGAGAGTGAATTCAGACTATGAAGAATTAAACACAAGGAAAATATAACATTCAAATGAGAAATTGATGCCCAGGAAAATCTGGAATTGATGATAACCTAATCTGTGTGGGATGTCTGCCTAATTTATTTGTCATAGAACCATCTTGGATTTTTAAAACAAAGTGACAAATCATCATTATGAGTGGCAAAGGAAGAAGAGATGAAAAATGAATAGCAACATTTTGCAAGAATTTAAGCTTTTGGAGTGACTTCAAGTAAAGCAAAATTAGCAATCTATTATCATAATTAGGCCTAGTTTAGACAAAAGATATACCCATGGCAAGGTCTGCATCCTAGTAAAATGAATGTTAGTAAGATATTACAACCCCTATTATTTTTGTTACTAAGTTGCTATTGTCATCTTTCCTCATTTTGGAAAACAACTGAAAGTGGAACATCTGCTTTTGATTAAATTGGTGTACCAGTATTTCCGTGCAAATCCCAATCATAATTAAAAGTTGCTATTCCTATCTTATAAAAAGATGTTTTGAAAATTACATCTCATTTAGAAAAATTACTTACTTTTTTATGTAATAGTTATGCTTTTTTGTTTCTCAAAAATAAAATGAAGTAACATGACCCATTGTGTAAAGGTGAAAGCAGTTGTTCTGAATACTCTTTAGCTCATGACACTTTTTTGCTGATTGTTGCCTTGGTGAATTTAGGTAATAATTAAGTATTCTAGACAGCGTTCATATCCTTTCCTTTCTAAAAGTTTATCAAAAGTGCAATATTGTCTAAGACTCAGTTATTTGATTTATGTCTGATAGTGCAAGGGAGGACTCAGCTAATTTTAAAAGAAAATGAGAGGAGGGATAAACCTTTCACTTTGCTTTTTGATACATTTAGCTTACATAAAATATAAGTATGGTCACAACTAAACCCTTTTCTTCTTAATTCTCAAACTTGGGCATTTTCTATTGTTCTGTCCTTTATCTTCTTCTACACCTTTAGTTTACAATGTTTAGGAATGCCCTAATAGAGTCTGATTGGTTGCCACCCATTTAAAACAAATGTTTTGCAATATTCATCTCAGATTCCACTGGCATTTGAAACTCAAAATATATAATAGGAACCATATATTCAACATTTTTTTTCTTACATTTCCCATTTCAGACATCAACTCCACTACCCTCCTAGGCACTCAGCAAGAAACTCATGAGTCATTCTTATTAACCAGCCTTTCATTGTCTCTAGGTTTTCTTTAGTTAAGTTCATCAATTATGGCTAAACTATTGCAATAAACACCTAACTATTCTCAAGATAATATATCTAGGCAACAAATTAGATAATCTCTTTACCCAGATTAAAATCCTTTAATGACACACTATTAGTATTAATGTAATTCTCTCTCTCTCTCTCTCTCTCTCTCTCTCTCTCTCTCTCTCTATATATATATATATATATATATATATATATGGAGGATCTTAGTTTATCTTTCAATAACATAAAGCTCAAGAATCAACATTCACAAAAATTATTCCTGAGTCATCTCTAAAACCAATCAATACCCCATCAGAGACTGAGCATATGTTACTATAATTGTTCTAAATATGTATTTCTCCAATGCATTTTTCCTCTGATCTGTAGAGCACTGTTACATATCTCCCCTATCAGAATACGAAGATGAGTCTAATACATGTGACTGTGAAATCAGGTGCCAGTAACCAAGCATCATTTATGTATCGAGCTACAATATAGGCTCAAATCTATTAATCAACAATTTAAACCAAAGTGTGAGCATCAGAGAGCTTCTTTGGAAATATCAAGGAGAATCAATTTCTATGATTGGAAATCAGCAGTGAAGACAATACACTGGACTTAATTGTAAGAATGTCAGACACCAGAGAAAGGTCACTTTAGGCCCAGATGCCAAAGTCAGGTCCTTTAGGGAGAGTGGAACTTTGAGATTTAGGATGGGGATGTCTGTGCATATGCACTTCAGAACCTTGAATTCTCAGATTATTATCTCCTCTTAACCTCTGTTTTTTTTGGAATTGGCTCATTATGCTTGGTTGAAAAAATAGAGATTTTCTTTGTTTGATGACTGTGGTGATAACACAAATAAAACAGCTGCTTTACAAGACAAGGCTTTCCCTCTTTAGGATCTGTCCCAAACTTCCTCTTCTCTCCAGGAGATCTACTACCAGACTAAGAAAGTGCTAGGCCTGCTAAGGGAAAAGAGCCATTGTACACAAAATGACTTCAACACCTCTAAATAATAATAATAATTAGAAATAATAACTAATAAATGGATGAGGTTGCTCTTGGAAGTTTGAAAAAGCAACACTCCAAATTAAATAAAGTGGAGATGTAAGAACTTCCATCATCAACTCAGAGGAAATAATCCAAAAGATTAAGGAATTAAGTGGGGTAGAATGGGTTTGCTATAGAAGACAATAAAAAAACTACAAGATGGCCACGTTCCTCAAAGCAGCTAGGAGGCTACTCTATTTAACAATGCAGTATGGAATGTAGTGTTGAAAAAATCAGTAAGGACTGACCTCTATAAATCTAGAGTGATGGTAGGAAACATTATTAGAGAACTAGGCTTCTGTTATAAAGACATTAACACTTATATTTCATATAAAATATTGCTTTAATTGATTGGTCAGAAAGGTAAAAATGTTATGGGTGGAAGATTGTTACAGGAACATAAAAATGACTCAGGGCAAGACAGGCATCAAATAAACATACTGAATATGTATGCATATAAATTAATTAATATATGAACAAAAGGCTGAGGGCAGCCACCCGAACATCATGGAAAGTCATAATAGCTTGCTTAATTTCCAGACCTGATCATGTTTTCAGACAGAAACCGTGACCAGAAGACAAAACAGGTGGTTATGTGGAAAGACACTCATATCTCAGAAAATCTACACAGTAGAGATTCCCTCAGTTTTTCTCTTAAGAGATCTACTATTATTTGCCTACATAACCATACATGAGGTAAATTGGGATATCCGAATCTTTCAAGGGCTGGTGGATACAGTGTGCAAATGAACACCGGTACAAAATAACATAAGGCAGGGCGTGGATCTTAACTAAGAAACTATGTCCTGGACCAGGCCTAGCTTGCAAAGACATGGCCAGTGATAATGTCCCGGTTCTAAAGTATAAACTTGTAATAAACATGCTTCGCAGCTGACAGAAAAGTTCAGCTCAGTTTCCTTGACCTGGACCTGTTATTGGAGGAAAGGTGAATCAGAAGTCCTAAAATTACTCAAATTCCCTCACCCTTAGTCAAGAAAACTCAAAGCAAAATTGTCTCCCATGAAAAGTGGCAGAAATTATTGCCACCCTCTAAGACTTGAAAGATGTAGTTTGTGACCATGATATCTCTATTTAATTCAACAGTCTGGCCTCTGGAAAAAAAAAAAAATCACATGGATAATGGCAGAGGCCAGTGGATTGCCACAAATTTAACAAATTAGTATCCCTAATTATAGTTGCCATGCCAGTAGTAGTATTCTTTCTTATGTGGGATAACGTTACCTGTGACTTTGATCTGGTGAATGTGTTCTTTAGTTTACGCATTGAAGAAACATTAGAAGCAATTCACATTGACTTAATATATACTCATTCTGTTTTTCTAGTGCTGTGTAACTCCTCTGCCCTATTTTCTAATATAATCCAAAGGAATTCTGATGCTCCAGACATTTTGAAAAATATCACATTCATCTACCCATATTGATAACATAATATTAATTGTGTTTGATGAGCAAGAAATGGCAAATGTTCTGAATGCCTTGCTAATACATATGTGCTCTAGAGCATGCAAGGTAAACCCTACAACAACTTAAGGGCTTGCCACATCAGTAAAGTTCTAGGGTCCAATTGTATAAGACATGCTAGGATATTACACCCCAAACTGAAAGGCAAGTCATTACACCTTATGCCTCTGAAAGCTAAGAAAAAAGAAAAAGAAAAAAAAAAAAAGATTGGAAGACATCTTTTGGTTTTGATATCAGCATGTTCCACACTGTGGAATACTGCTCTAACCCATTCATTGTTGTATAAGGCTACTAAATTTGAATGAGGCCCACAACAGAAAAAGGGTTTGTTAACAACTCTAAATTGTGATATAAAAGGACCCACTGTTTGGGTTATATAAGATCCCATGGCACCTGAGGCATCTGTGGTAGAAAAAATATGTCATGTGGATTACCAAGTGTTTGCTAAGATTGACAAGTATTGGTAAAACAGTCATAGTGTACAGAAATGCAAGGGCTCTAGAATAAGGAAAGTCCATCTGCAGCAGAAAACTAGAAAATATTTGCACATCAGCTCTTGGCATATTTCTGTGACCTACTGGAAAGAGCATCTGATCACGGGACAGCAAGCGGCCACATGTCCTAAACTTTTCATATGAGGTAGACACTGGCAGATCCACGAAGTCGTAAGTGTGGGTCTGCAGCAATCCATCCCAAAATGGAAGAGAGCTCAAGCATACCCAGAGAGGACAAGTAAGCTGCCTAAACATGGCCCCAAACCCCACGTCGCCCGTTTTTTGTTTTTTTTGTTTGTTTGTTTGTTTTTTGGTAGAGGTGGGGTTTCACCATGTTGGCCAGGTTGGTCTCGATCCCTTGACCTCGTGATCTGCCCACCTCAGCCTCCCCAAATGCTGGGATTACAGGCGTGAGCCACTGCGCCTGGCCCCCCATGTCACCTTCTAATGCTAAACCAGTGCCTCTTCCTCAATTGATAGCTATGGCCCCATGGCCTCTCTATGAGGAGCTGATGAAGGAGGAAAACACCTGAACTTGGTTCATAAGTGGGTCAGCTTGGTATGACAATATAAGCTAAATATTGACTTTTTTTTTTTGTTTTTCACAACAACTGTTCTCAAAAACGGCCCTGAATGAGAGCAGTAAAAGAAATTCTCTCAATGTGCACAGACTAGGGTGGTTTCAGTGGAGATAGAAAAGCCTAAGAAAGGGTACACATACTCTTAGGCAATACAGATTGGCTTGCTTTGTGGGTCAGGTTATTGGAAAAAGTGATATTGAAATAGTGATGACAAGGAGACCTGGGGAAGAGGTATGTGGATGGACCTATGGACACAGGAAACAAGTGTGAAGATCTTTGTATCACAAATCAGTGCCCACAAGAAGCATCACTAAACAAGTAAATAGAGAACTGATTATCCAGCCAATACATTTCTGCCAGTCTATGTTCTAAGTTAACACAGTGCTTATGCATTGGATTCCTGAATATTAATGCTATGGTGGCAGAAGTATCTGATATGTATGGGCCCAATTGCACAGGGTTCTTCAAACCAAGTGCTGACTACTTATGCTACAGAATAAATGACGTGCCAATGGTGGAGACCAAAACTGAGCTCCAAATATGATACCTTCATCAAATAGAACAACCAGCTTCTTAGATGCAAGCTGATTAGATCAGATCCCTTTCACACTGAACAAGCAATATTTCATGTTGATTGAGATTGTCAAATTTTTTTCATGAATTTGCCTTTATTGCCTATAGAGCCTGCAGAGGCATTATCCAAGGGCTTCTAGATTATTTAATCTTCCAAAATGGGATCCCACATAACATCTCTTCACACCAAGGAACCTGCTTGCCAGCAAAGAATGTATACTGAGCACATGACAATGGAATCCATTTGCTCCATCCAAATGCTGCATTATAAGTTTCTTTCTGACAGAGCAATGAAATAGCATTCTGAAGACACAGCTGAGAAGCCAGCTAGGAGATGATAATCTTGGGAAAAAGGCTCTATCTTTCAAGATAGAATATATATCTTAATCCAATGCCATTATATGGTACTATGCCCATATCACAGTAGAATACATGAGCCCAGAAAACAAAAGGTGTAAGTAGGAGTGACCCCACCCCCTAACACTACCAGTGACCTGCTTGAGTAATTTGTGGCTCTCCTTCCTAGTTTCCAGAAGAAAAGTGCTTCCACTGGATGGGCACAGTAGGAGTCCCACTAAACCTTAGGCTGTAGCCACTAGCTGGCCGTTTTAGGCTCCTTGTGCTAACAGGCCAACAAGAGAAGAAAGGAGTTAATGTTCTGGTACAAGTAATTGATCCTGAGCATCATGAGGGGAGCAACTGCTGCCACATTAGAGGAGGAAAGAGAAATTGGTTTGTATTTAGGTGACCTGTCACAGAATCTCTTGTGTCTATTTTTAACTCCAAATAGGCAAGTATAGCAATTATAGCTCAATGAGGGCCTGGTAACCCTTCATGAAGGTCTGGGTCAAGCTACCCTGTGAAGCACCTAGATAGGCAAAAGTACTAAACACCTAATGGGAATCTAGATTTTAAGAGGAATCCAAAATGGAGAGATAATGAGTAGCAGCAAGGAGTTCAATAGCAATTGCATAGCAAGGGCTACAATCGATCACACCCTTCCTCATTTTGTAAGTTATTCCAGACATTGTAGTCATTGAAATTTTGGAAAAAATTGCCAGAATGAAATGAATTTAATGTTAGAGACAGAGTTGAATGACAAAAGAGGTAACTTGTTGTGGCTGCTTTTGGTGCTCCACCCAGATCCATTGTACAGTCTGTTTCTCCTATCCCCCAGCTGTTGTGAGTCTTGGCCAGTAACAACTCACAATTATCCCCTTCTCCAGAGACTTGTCTTAACCTAACAGGAATCAGCTGGCCAGTAACAACTCCACAATTATCCACTTCTCCAGAGACTTGTCTTGACCTAACAGGAATCACCTGGCCAGTAACAACGCACAAGCACAATTATCCCCTTCTCCAGAAAATTGTCTTATCCTAACGGGAATCCCCATACCTGATAGACTCTATCCTACCTCAGAGGAATGAAGGCAATGAACGACTGCCTCAAGGTAGGACTCTTTGTTGAAATTTGGTCCACAGAGATTTCCTGTGTGATAAGACTCAGTGTAATCTCACACAGAGATTACATTACTTAGCTTCCACTTCTCCTCTTCCTATTCTACTTCCTTCATTCCCTTTCTCTTTTTTCCCCCTTTCTCTTAAGAGCACATTCCTGATGAAACGCTAGAAGTAAAATCCCCATTTCATGCTCTACTTCTAGAGGACTTGACCTAAGACGTGGCATGTGTGTTGTTTCCTTTATCCAGAGGATACAATTCCAATTATCTAGCTAAGAAATTCCTAGCTATACTTCAAATCTAACAAATTGCCTTCTATTCAGGAAAGATTTCATAGATATTTAGAGTCAGGTTTCTATTTTCTCTCTTAGCCTTCTAGGCCTATGTCCATGTTAGCTCTGATTTGCTGTATTATAATTGTTGGGTTTCCTCTCTTACACTGGAACAAGTATTCATTCATTCACTCTTCTTTTTTTATTTTTTCTTTTCTTTTCTTCCATTCCATTCCTTCCTTCTTTCTCTCCTTTTTCCTTCTTTTATTATTTTAACATATATTTAGTACTATGTATGAAAAAATATGCCAAAACTCTGAGTAGCAGTGCTAAATCAATTTATAGGAGGCCATTGTTTTGGTCTAAGCTTCTACACTAGGCCACAGACCAAACCAAAATGGAAGCAACTAAATCATTCCATTGGACACCTTGACTGTCCATTGTAATACCCAGGTCCTTGAGCTATTGTACAGGGCTGGGGCCATGGGAGACAGTGTTGGTGGCTGTGGGGTGGAGTGGGTCATTCAAGTGGAGCAGGAGCTTCACTAGCTGTTCTAGGTTACCCCCATGAATGGTATATAGAGCATTTTTAGCCAATTTCTTCCATTGAAATTCATCCAAAAATGGGTTTGAACATATGTTATTACTTAATAAAATGTGTAACAATTGGCAGATTTAAAAAAGTAACTGAATAATTCTCAATAAGTCAATTACCACAAATTTAAAAATCTATGCATCAAAAATAAACACTTGGCTAAAAAATTGCATTAAGTTTTGCTTATTTCTCCATTATCTTTTAAGAAGTCACCTTTGGCACCATGATGATGCAGTGTGTCTTTGAGACACTCTTCTTGGCTCCTAATACACTAATTGACAGATTTTTGCTGGCATCACCTAGGGCACAAAGTAACCATTTGTCCTTCATGTTCAGCCTATGCTCAAGATCGAAAATCTCAGAGATTCTACTTGATATCAGTGTTGCAGTGTGTGAAGAACGTACGAAATCCCCAAACAGTAAGTACATCTGTGAGGTTTGAGAATTTTATTTAGACACTTGTGCAGAAGTCTAGAAGGCACTACATTTTTGGCTTTGGGTTTGGGATCCAGGAAGATCACTTTATATTGACTTTTTCTAATTTGATTACCTTTTATCATTGTTGTTGAATGGAATTATGCTTCAGAAAGAGAACCATGGTTGAAATAACGTCTAGGAATTCATTTGGCTTTCCAGAAATTTTTCTGAAGTATCCGTCTACTTCACTATGTTAACCCAACTTGGCTGAAGCTTGTGTTTTAAATCAGTGCCAATTAGAGCAGTGGAACTTAGAGACCCAGTTTATGAGTGATATCATGAGATATTAATGGATTTTTTAATAGTGGTCCTAAGTACATAGAGACTTTCTATATCCATAGAATAAGGCCCCCATATTTGCCAAGAAATCTGGACCTAAAATATATTGGCTTTTGGAAGTCAAATTAACACAAAGTCAAATAACACTATCTATGTAATAATTATGTGATTCAAAGGTGGGATGGAAGCACATTTAAAGAATATAATAAAAGTTGAGTAAATTAATAAATCAATGCTTAACTAAATGAAAGAAATTCCTATTTTTTACTTCAGGCTCATAGGATATCATAAAAATTTAATGCACAACATCTGAAAACATTTTTACTTGATTTCCTCGTCTCTTAAAATGTGTCACATCCCAGGTTTTTTTAAGCCTTCCATTTTTCCGCCTTCTTCCACCAGAAATACTCTACTATGATATCCCAGCTCAAGTCACTACTACGCCCTCTTCTCCTTCCTCCACTTTGCCACTTTGGCTCTTTCTGTTAGATATTTTCTTATATCTATATTCCACTTTGACTCATTTGCTGATTTGCATAAGGAATGCAAATGATTTTCTTCATAAGGTGAATACAAAGTAGAATTTGAAAATTGGTCAGGATTTGCACCCACAATTAACAAATTGGAGGAGGGTGTTTTCTTAATCTGTTTTTTCCTCAGCAGGTACAATGACTATGAGAATTTCTCCCTCTTAAGAGTATGTATGTAAAGGTGTGTGTGTATTTACCTTAGCCCTGATAATGTTAGAACTCATTATTAATTAAAGGTAAAGAGGGACCTATTTATGAAGATATTGGAGGTTTTAGAGAGTAAGAAATACATATGTGAAAGGAAAATGAGAGATATGCTAAAGGAAAAATTGCAACAATGAAAGATGGCCCAACCCCTTACATATAGGGCTGGACTGAGGCAGCTAATTAGTTATAAGCTGTCAGCCTGTTTACTAACAGTGTATTCCAGAACGATCCCAGACAGTGAACTGGAGTGACCCAGGTAGTTACAACAACCTTGGAAAGCTGTAAAACATAAAAAGAGCAATAATGCATTCAACTGGGTAACCACTTACACATGGATAAAGCAACTACATAATACTTCTGTACCAGTATGGAAAAATGTAGGCAAATAATGAACAACATTTTTCAGGTTTTATTCTGTGTGTTTTTCAGATTTTATTCAATGTGTTTTACAGTGACACAGTTTGTGTTTGGTAGTGAGGGGAAATCAGGATGCCACATTTAATGAAAGAGCATGCCTGGGAAATGTATGGATTTATTTTGAAAGGGAAGTCCTGAGAAGAAATGTATAAAAAAAAAGTCAAGGTTAAGTCTATCTTTGAATTAGACACTATATCTACAATAAATAGAGTAACAATATAATTTATTTTCCAAACTGGGACACTTGTGAGCGTGAAAGGGAATGCTATTAATAGTTACCAAGAAACAATAAATACGGATTAGGACTGAACTGGGCAAATAGGACATGTGGTGCCTGTAACAACAGAAGCTGCATCTTGGATTAAATTATCATTCTCAAGGAAGTATCAGTGTGCATGATTTGTGAAAGTAACACATATTTTTGGCAGTCAATAGCTAATTGACATTACAGCTCTAATGACCTCCACTATGCTGAAAGGAGAACGATATTAGGAAGATGTACTTATGAGATAATAAGCAGAAAGAATGGAAGTGTGGCTGTATGCCCAGTTTTGGTACTAAGAATAGGTCTACTAGATAGATCTAAGAGAAAGGAGAAAGAGACACACCAAATAAAAGTAAATATGGAATTATGTTGATGCTAGAATATAGACCATGGAGCATCAAAAGCTACTTGACATAGCCAGGTAAGAGCAGAACAATACTGGGATACTAAGTGAACACTACTACCAGTAATACAAAGCCATCAAAATCACCACGTGATCTTACTATGGAAATGGCCTGCCACATTCTGAGCAAAATAGGGATTTTTTTTTTCAGAACCAATGTGTCATGCTGTCATAACACAGAGACTCTAAAACGTTAAAATTAATTCCAGCTTTATCATAATGTTTACAATTAAAAAATTATAGTACCATCACCATAATTACAGACATCAGCTGAAAGATATATTTTAATTTTAAAAAGACAATTAGTAAAAATATGAATTACTTCTAGGAAATACATAAGTTTAGGAAATAAAGCTAAAATCAGATAAAAGGTTAGATCATGTTGACATACCCCCAAACTGGATAGATTCAAGATTAAAATATCTCATGTGTGCTATTTCTCATATTTCCAGTGATCAGCTGGTACTCCAGGTGATAAACAATGATCAGATTTCTTGGAACTCCATTATCGGTACTAAGATTTTTATTAGTTCCAATTCTCTTGAAATTCACAGGAAATGAGAATATACAATATGTAGAGACTGTCTTATAGATGAAATGAGCAAGTTTCATCAATTGAGTTAATTATACTGGTATTGGAGAACTAATTTTAAAAAGCATTATTAAGATTTTGCCAATAGGTGAAGACATGTAGCAGTTAAGAATTTTCCAGTAGTACCAATCACTTGTGCCTATGCTTATAATACTAGGAACGATACAGGGTGAGTTCTGAAAGACATATTTAGATAGTCAGTTGTCTAACAGACACAATATCTGCGGACCTCAGACAAATTAAAAACAACATAGATTATTGCTATAAACTTATTATTATTCTGAAGTATTCACTGCTCACTTCTCCAAAAAAGAACGCTGTGTCCTCTCTCATTGCCCTGCAACTTTCCGCATCTCTATTCCCTAGAGGAGAAATATACTTCATGGACAAATTAACATTGATTTTTGGCCATGTGATTGGATTTGTCCAATGGGATATGACCATGTATAAATGATGCCATTTACAAGCAGAAATTTTAAGAGTCATTTTTATTTCCCATGAGAATGGCATGTTTGCAACAGAAGCTGTTTCTTTAGCTCGAGAGTGGAACTAAAGCAGAGCCACAAGAGCCAAGTGACGGGTAGTGACTTTACAACACGAGTGAGAAATGATTATACATTGATGAAAGGCTCAATGTTCAGTGGCAATGTAAGCCACCAAAAATTTCGAGATTTTTTAATTAGGGCAAAGTTAATACACGTAACCTTCAAAAGATATAAGATCTGGGTAGATTAGTTGCAGTTTAAAGGAAATAAGGTAAATATATCTTCTTTATAAACTCTAAATTGATATAGTGTTGCTAAACAAAAATCTAATCAAGGAAAGAAGGTATGAATGACTACAATGAACTCAAAATGTTACTAAGTCTATTAGACCTTAATGTCATACATCGAAAAATACTCTAAAATGTGGAGTTGTAGCTAATGTTCTCTATTCTCTTGAATTAAAAATTGATTCTACTCCATATCACCAAAGGAAATACATCAAAGTTCAAAGTGTGTCACACTGAAGGTAGGCAGAAAACAGAAAGAATTCCATCAGCAACTTATCTAGTTATAAGAACACTTTCAAGAACAGAGGTAGCATTCATTAAGTCAGGGCTTGGAAGGTTTCTTGCTATACAGATTATCCAGAAATCATAGGAAGATTAGAAAATAAGCAGACATAGGTAAAGGAATTAAAGAAAAATAACTGTGAGTCCCAACTTGAAGGAGTGCATCTTCCCCAAAAGGAAAATAATCTGGTTGTTGGTTGTATAATGTAATATGTTCAGCTAATTTTCAATAACAACCGGCCAAGGAGAGAGGTGCATCAACTAATATAGAAATTAGTGAAAGAGACTGTAGCTGTACTTTTGCTTGGCTTCATTACATTTAATGCAATTTTTAACCTTCATGCAATAATAACTGCAAATTTATGATTATTGTAATTAAGTGCATACAAAAAGAGAGAGTCCTGTGGTATAAGTTTACTGAGGATTTTACTATGTGGAAATGAAGTATAGGTGGTGAAAGAGGAATTGCCTGTTTAAAGGGAGCGCCAGAAATGGTTGATTGTAGTGGTGATGGTGGGAAGGGGTGCTTTCAAATTTCAGAACTAGTCTTACCACTAAATCTATTATTGGCTTACGCTGGATAAATGTAAACTATTTCCCAGTGGAGGTATCTATATGAAACTATTAGAGAATGTTATGTTCTAATCAGAGGGAATGTGATCACATGAGAATATCTGTACTTTATTATAAATGAAATATACTTCATATACAAGTAGGAAAACCTAGGCAGTTTTGATTGACCAATTAGTAGATGGATAGTAGGATAGATAGGTAGATAGGTAGATAGAAAAATACAGTCAGATGTCCCTTAACAATGCAGATACATTCTGAGACATATAAGCCAGCTTTGTCATTATGCTAACATCATAGATTATATTTACACGATTCTACACAGTATAGCCTACTACACACCTGGGCTATATGGTATAGCTTAATGCTCTTAGGCTACAAACCTTAGTTGACTGAAATATCATTATGTAGTGCCTGACTGTATGCTGATGGGAATTCAAAATGCAATGAGAACACAAAGATTTCAGGAGCTAGTGTCCTTACAATTCCCAGGGAGAAAATAATGGATCCCTGAAATTCAGTAAGCCTTGGAAATTATGTCAGGAGGCTGGGTAGCTGTGCTGTAATACTTTGGTAATAAAGGAAAATTGTCCCCTGATGATTGAAAAAGATTCTATGACTCTAAGGTCAAAATGTTCTTCTTATTTGGTGAAGTGATAATCAGATTCTAGCCCCAGAGGGGCTGAGCAAAGGGAATGTAGATACAGGATATAACTTCAAATTTATAATACAATATAATGTGCAAAAGATATGGGTCATGCAAAGACATGTGTGTGGTCAAGGGGAAATTTACAGAGCAGCTTTTCAATTACATTAGAAAGAGATGCAATGTTCCAAGGTTCCTGAGGACAAAGGGCAATTCTCACTCACTAATGGAAATTAACTCTGGCCTTT
Source organism: Homo sapiens (assembly GCF_000001405.40). Lineage (NCBI taxonomy): Eukaryota > Metazoa > Chordata > Mammalia > Primates > Hominidae > Homo > Homo sapiens. The sequence continues at coordinate 87,729,759 of NC_000013.11, forward strand.
CTTCAAACAAACAAACAAACAAAAAAACAAAAAACAAAAACAGAATCCACAATTTGCCTTTATCTGGGCACTGAAGAATTTACTCTCCAGTTACTTGCAAGTGGAAAGACTTGTGGTCTAAGGATACAATTTTGAATCCAAAATAGTTTCATATTAAGGGATGAATATAGAAAATTAGCCTTTGAATATTGTATTGATAGCATTCAAGATAGGGTCAGGGTAGGATGACAGGAGCAAACAATTTAAATGGGGACACCATCTACCCTACGCAACTCATTAATTTTCAGCAAAAAATAAGAAGAGCTGAAGCAAGGATTTCAGGACTCTGGAAACATTTCTACTATCTTTCCACCAATACACTGAAACAAACATATTATTGCAGTAATAGCTGTAGTTTCTCCAAAATGAATATAGGCTTTTCTCAACAATTATCAATCCATTAAGGTCGTTAAAGAGATCCTAGCCTATAAAAGATTTTCCTATAAAAGACTTTTCTCCAAGAATACTGACTTAAACAGTGGATTCACATTGAGAGTGGAAAATGTAATGGATTATAAATATATATATATATAAAATATATGTGTATATATATGTGTGTACATATGTGTACTATACATATATTATATATAGTAATATAGTATATAATACAATATATTATGTTATATATGCATGTATAATATATATTATATATACACATATACAAATGTATATTTATAATACCTATAATGCAATATATTATGAATATACATATATCTATAGGTATACTTATATAATATAGCTATAATACTATATATTATGAATGTATATATAACATATAAAAATTACGTATAATGCAATATATTATATAACATTTCATATATATAAGATAATATATACTTATGAAAAAATATGTTTAGGGGCCTCTTCCATTGAATACCCTCTAATGTGGTAGTTTAAGGCAAGCTCCATATCCTAAGAATATTGGAAATTGAACTTTCTGAAATTGAGGAAAATGACTAAAATCAATAAGGGTAATTCTAACTTATGAAAATGTTTTAGGCATTGCCTTTAATAACAATTAAAAATGAAATATTTAATTGGTTATATATAATATACATATACACACATATATGTATTCATATATATGTAATATATACACACATATGTATAAATTCTTCATAAATTGTGTACTAGGTTGGTGCAAAAGTAATTGCGGGTTTTGCCATTAAAAGTAATGGCAAAAACTGCAATTACTTTTGCACCAACCTAAGATAATTATATATAATATATAATATTACATATAATATACATATATACACACACATGTATTCTTCATAAATTGCAGTAACTTGAAAGCAGTTGGGAAATTAGAAAATAAAATCATCTTACGGGGAGAAACATTTATTTAGTTATATCCTTATCTTCTTTCTATTTTTATGCCAGCGTGAGAACTAGAAAAATTCTAGAGGAATAACTAGATTTTATTTTATTAATTGTTTGGAAATTCCTTATCCCCTGCTTGCTATCCCTTGCTTGCCCTTTATAGGTACACAAATCACAGAGCATCATATTGAAGAATGTGTCCTATAGTTAGTCAATTTCTAATTCACTTGAGAATATGGATCATATGTAAGAGCAGGTATGCCATTATGTGAAAAGTAATCTGAAAAAAGGTAAATTAGAATACAAATTTTGGGAAATTTACATATTTATCCAAAATCTAGATGGCAAATACAATTTCTACCTTGAATCAATTTGTCTGCCCTGACAGACAAAATGGTGCTAGTGACCTGAAACTGAACCTCTAAGTTCTGGGACCTGATGGAATTACACTTGGTCTTTTGATGTGTATGTGTCTCTAACCTATTTAAGGAGAGATTTGTACTATTGTTTTGCAAATAAAGCAAACTAAAGTCTGATGGGATTTCACTGTGAGAGAACTTGAGGGGAATAGTCATTGAGGAACTTTCACTGTGACACTAGGAAAGTTTATTAAAATATAAAAAGAGTCAGATCTGTTCTTTCATATGTTATCTATTATCCTAGAAATATCTTGATGACACTATTCTGCTGTTGGCTGTAGGTACCTCTTCCATTGAATGACCTCAATGTGATAGATTAATGCAAGCTCCATGTGTTAACAATCAGTCAATTGAACTTTGTGTAATTCAGGAAAATGATTAAATCAATGACAGGAATTCTAATTTATAAAAATGTTTTAGGCATTGCCTTTAATAACAATTAAAAGTGAAGTGTTTAATTGGTTTTTGTCTGTTGTGTTTTGAGTTTTGCATTTTTAAAAAATATGAGATTATGCTCAGTCCAGAGTGGTACTTTCGGAAACTAGAGGAAAATAATTACGTTAATAAATTTTGCTACAAATTAGGATTTATGGGCCTATAAAAATTATGGAAATTAATGGTGAGCAAAACAGACGCAATTTTGCTGTCATCAAAATCTACAGTCTGGTGGGAAAACTGGTTAGTAAAAATACAATAATCCAGTGGCTCATGTCTATAATCCCAGTACTTTGGGAGGCCAAGGAGGGTGGATCACCTGAGGTCAGGAGTTCCAGACCAATGTTGGCAAAACCCCTTCTCTACTAAAAAAAAAAAAAAAAAAAAAATAGCAGGCATGCTGGTGGGCACCTGCAATCCCAGCTACTTGGGAAATTGAGGCAGGAGAATCACTTGAACCCAGGAGGGGGAGGTTTCAGCGAGCCAAGATTGGGCCTCTGCACTCTAGCTTGGGCAACAAAATGAGACTCCATCTCATATATATATGATAATCGTTAATCATTATGAAGGACAAAGGCAGTGTGCTATGAGAAGTGCAAGATCTAATTTAGTCTAGATAAATGTCTTCAGTATTTCTCTGAAAACACTTGTTTTTGATGTTTTCATTGAGATCTAAAAGAGAAGTGATTAGCTACAAAAAAAAGAGAGGGAGAAAAATAAGACAAAATGTTTCAGACAAAGGGGACACAGGGTGTGATGGTCTAAGACAAAAAGCAGTATTGGTCATGAGAAAATGATGGAAGGTCAGTGTGGAAAGAAATAATGAGAGGGTATTATAAGGTAAAGCTAGAGAGAAGTCAAAATCAGCTAATGGTGAACCTTGTATGTGTTAAAAGTAGGAAAACCATTGAAATATTAGAAGCTAGAAAGACATATTCAGATTTGCATTATTAAATTATTGATTTTCCTCTTCCGTGGGGAAAGGATTTGAAAGGCACAATGATAGTGGAACCACAAGCTTGTTGCATTAATTCAAGGAGTAGATGATGATAGCTTTGACTAGGATACTGGCAAAGAAGGTGCTAAGAGAAAGTTTGAGTTATTTAGGAGGCAAAATTGATAGAGCATCAGAATTCATGATATTGAGGAGGAGAGAGGAGGGTATCTTGAAAGATTCTCAGCCTTTCACCTTGAACAATTGTAAAGATATTTTCACGGTTCAACCCAATGGAAGCCAGGAGAGGAAGAAATTATAAGTTCACTTTTAGACATGGTAACATACAACTAGGCAGTTGGATATATGTGGCTAGCATTTAAAAGAGACAGCTGAGATTCAGAATCATATTTACATATTTAGTGTCATGGTATATAACTTATAACTGAGGCCTTGGGTATGGCGTGAAACTTAAGACATTGCAGTGAGAAGGGACAGAGAAATTAAAAAATTTAAGACTGGATAAAAGAATATAGATTATCCAAGTGACTGAGAAGAAAGAGTTAGAGGGGTAAGAATAATGCCAGGGGAGTGTGATATCCAATAAAGAAATGTGCTTTTAATTTTATTACCATTATTATTATTATTTTATTTAGAGGTTGTAGTTATTGTTAATATGAAATGTTTCTGAAATATCAGGCAAGGTGAATATTGGAAAAAATCTCCTGGACATATAAGACGTATAAGCAAAAGCTCCCCAAGTAGAGGGGTCAGTGGACAGGTTGGAATGAGGTGAAGAATGATAGAACAGCGAGGAAAATCCTTACAGATGTTCGACTGTGAAGACAATAATGCAGAGTGGCAGCTGGATAGGAAATCGGCTTTAAAGGAGGATTTTATTTTTTCAATATCATTTAAGGTTAGAGAGATTCGAGTGCATTTAAATGACAAAGGAAAAGATAAAGTAAATAGGTGGAATGCAATATACACAAAATGGGATTTGATTTAATTGTGTAATTAATCAAACCTAGTAGAGACAGGAGTTGCTGCGATGCACAGCCTCCGAGCTCCTGAAGAGGAACAATAGAGGCAGGTGCATATCCTGAAAATGAATGTTTAGGACACCACAGGCTCTTCTAAATGTTCACACACATTAACACATTTAATTCCCAGCCATATGAGATAGAAACTACTAATATCTTCGTTTTATAGATGAGAGATTAAGTAAATTGCTCAAGGCAAATTTTGTGCCTGGTAGAGCCAGCAATCAAACCTAGAAAACTTGACTCCAGGGTCAAGGCGGCTAGCCACTACCCTGTAATAGGTGGCTTTTTCTGGTTTATTTCAGAGAACACAGAGGGAAGCTTGTGTCATGGTGTCCATTTTTTTTAAATTTTTTTGAAAGATGAATCATTGTAATATATTGCATATGATTATTCCAATATTTTAGATAAACAAAAGTTTAGAGCAGGGAAGAAATATCCTCATTTTTATATATAGTAAATAATAAAGACAAAATTTGAACCCAATTCTAAATTTAAGGACTTTTCCCTTGCCAAGATAAATGATTTTCAAATTCTCAGGGTTGAAAGCTGTCATCCTGCCAATCACGGTTATTCCAAGTTTACACCCTCAACTTCACTTTAGAAGAGAACTTTTCTTTATCTCTTTTATACTTTTTCTTACTTTTTCTTGTCTAGAGCTTACTATAATAATTCAAATGTGTTAGCCTTTTCCATGCTCCCATAGCGCTCCATACCTATTTCAATCACAGCATACCACTTTGTACTCTAATCATCTGTTTCATTATGGAACAAGATAATTATTAACACTTTTTTAAAAAATCAGCAATGCTAATATAGCTGGCAAAAAAGTAGCCTGTTGAAAGCAACCTTAAAAATCATATAGAATAGTAAACTTTATGTATTCTGGTGTTCTCAGCTTTGTAAAGGTATTGGATATATTGTACATGGAAATCTGGGATTTGAAAAACAAGGATGGTGGTCTTGAATTGCTGCACTGTAAGATAAACATTTGGCATGGAGAAAGGGTGCCATCGTCTGATGTCTTTTGGTGAGCAAAGACCTCAACAACACTAAAGGATTCTGGGGTCACGGGACCAGAGGGTGGTACTCTGAGCTGATGCTGCAGGAGGGGCACTTCCTTGTGTATCTAAGACTGGGATACTTTTGAGACTATCTGGTTATGTTTGTCAGGTAAGAGCTGACCATGGGGGAAGCACGAATGGTGCCAAAAATAAACAAAACTGGACACTAGTTAAAATGTTAAGGACACATTTTAATCAGTAATAACTATTGCAATAGAAACAATAGTCAAGCACAAACTGATCTCAACTTCAATTTGTACAGTGACTGGGTGTTTTCACCTAAGAATAAAGGAGTAGGGAGGGAGGGAATGGAAGCTCTGTTGAGGCAGAAAATTGAAACATTGCAAACTGTGGAAATAGAAGGTAGGTCTGTGTGAAACCTGTCTGGGTTTGCTGATGTTTATGGAAGTCAGGCACCTACCCTTACACAAAGACTAGGAGACAGGGGTACTAATTTCAAGTGTTGCCTGCAATAAATAGTAAATTCTTTTGACAGCCTTGTGTTTTCTCAGGCAGGCACTTTAAGAGGGACTAGGGTCATCCTAGGGAGGCAGCTTTGAGCTGCTAATAACTCAGTTACTGTTTGCTCAAGTCTTTATAGGCCAAGGTGGAAGGCCAGTTGTTTTGAAATAGTTGTAACAGCTATTTGTTACGGCACTTATAGTTACTATTCCAGGGACATTACAGACATTATCTCATTTAATACTTAGAATAACTGTAAAGTAGGTACTGTTATTTTGCTCAAAACTGAGACTTAGAGGCATTAAACTACTTGGCCAGCATTATATATTTAGTTATTGGTAAAATCAGGATTATATCAAGATCAAAAGACAAATTGTTTAATTATACAGGCTGTACTCTAAATCCTAGACATTATTTTGTAGCTAGTCAGAAGCAATAGGTTGGAACTATTTAAAATGGAATCCGTATAAATTAAACTCTTATTCATTATCAATCTTTTTTTTTCAAATTGAACAAATATTTATTGATCATATTGAATCAGGTGCTTGTGCTCTAAGTGATAAATCAATCTCAAATATTAAAAAACTGAGAAAAGGAATTATGTCTTTTATTATTATTATTATTATTATTATACTTTAAGTTTTAGGGTACATGTGCACAATGTGCAGGTTAGTTACATATGTATACATGTGACATGCTGGTGCGCTGCACCCACTAACTCGTCATCTAGCATTAGGTATATCTCCCAATGCTATCCCTCCCCCCTCCCGCCTCCCCCCACCCCACAACAGTCCCTAGAGTGTGATGTTCCCCTTCCTGTGTCCATGTGTTCTCATTGTTCAATTCCCACCTATGACTGAGAATATGCGGTGTTTGATTTTTCGTTCTTGCGATAGTTTACTGAGAATGATGATTTCCAACTTCATCCATGTCCCTACAAAGGACATGAACTCATCATTTTTTATGGCTGCATAGTATTCCATGGTGTATATGTGCCACATTTTCTTAATCCAGTCTATCCTTGTTGGACATTTGGGTTGGTTCCAAGTATTTGCTATTGTGAATAGTGCCACAATAAACATAAGTGTGCATGTGTCTTTATAGCAGCATGATTTATAGTCCTTTGGGTATATACCCAGTAATGGGATGGCTGGGTCAAATGGTATTTCTAGTTCTAGATCCCTGAGGAATCGCCATACTGCTCAAAGTATTACATATGGAATATTTTGCTTTTTTTCATTCCATCCCACTCTTGAACTCAGATATTACAGACTATAAAATATAAAGTTTAAGAAATGGAATAATTCTGGGAATAGATTAAACCTCTCATAATGCAGTTCAAGTTATAGTCATTTTTGGTGTTTTCACCATATTGAATTTATCATCTGAGTAGTACAAACTTTTATTTCTTTGGCAGTCTATCTTTTAGTGTGGAAATTAAAGATGCAAAATGGCCAAGTGGAGGAAATCAGAGGCTGCAAGTGTCCTGGGGCATGAACCAAGGCTCTAGCTCTTTCTCCTTTTGGCCTGACTTGCTGAGAAAGGCAGCTTTTCTCAGTATGACTGATGTTGTAGTCATCTCTCCTCTTTCTCTTGGTTTATGACTTGATATATGACTTTTTCCTCAGACTCTTCAGTGTAGTGTGTAGTTTTTATCCTGACTTTAATTCAGTGTATCTAAAATTAAGCACAGGCTTTATGCCTGGAACTTATGTAATCTTAGAACTGAAAATGTGCATAACATAAACATAGACTGATTTGGACTCGTTCTCATGTTATAGACTCTGTTGCAGATGAGATTGAAACTTTACATATTCACTACTTATTTTACCATGGGAAAATTACTTAAACTCTCCAGCCTTCAATTATTCTCATTTGCAACATGAGAATAATAATAACTGTCACATAAATGTGTTCAGAGGTTAATAGAGATGACAAATATAAAGTGCCTTGACATTGTTTTCAGTAAATGATTAATAAGATAATCACCATTATAGTATGTAAGTCCCCAATACTGGTTTTTTTCCATCTTCCAGTTACAAACTGGCTAACAACATTACCTTTAGCAATAATCCCTTTTAACAGCATCTCAAGACATACACATTAGCAGCCTGATTGTCACTAATTTTTAAGAGCTTTGTGACTTTGAGTAAGCAGTTTTCTCTCTGAGCCTCAGTTTACAAATCTATAAAATAAGAACACTAACCATGCATAACAGGATCACAAGGACTAGTATCAAAAGTAAATTGTAAATCCCAAAGCACAGTGTAAATGCTTCAACTCTTCATGGTCAGGTTTTGGATCAGTATTGCCATTCTAACATGTTATAAACATGGAGTTTGAGGGGCAGATGCAGACAGGCTTACTTGAGAATACTGAGAAAAATACAATTGTCTAATTAGTTATCAAACATAAATAGGTATATCTGTAGAATCTACCCACCAATCATCAAGATTGTCATAAATTATTATGCTAGCAGACTTGAATCAATTTAGCATTATAAGTCAAACTATATGTGATTATATAACTTTGACATTTCACAACTAATTTTTTTTTTTTTTTGAGACAGAGTCTCACTCTGTGGCCCAGGCTGGAGTGCAGTGGCACAATCTCAGCTCACTGCCAACTCCGCCTTCTGAGTTCAAGCGATACTCCTGCCTCAGCCTCCCAAGTAGCTGTGATTACAGGCATGCACCATTACTCCCAGCTAATTTTTAGTAGAGATAGGGTTTCACCATGTTGGCCAGGCTGGTCTCAAATGCCTGACTTCAGCCTCCCAAAGTGCTGCGATGATAGGCATGAGACACTGCACCTGGCCCAAAATTAATTTCTGTAAAATGATATTATTAATCTGGAATATCATCTTTAAAAGTGGATGAATGATTATCAAACAAAAGGGACACATATTTGAGCCTTACCCAGCTTTGCCTATAAGTCATGGAATGTCCTAAGTCATGGGAGTATAAATTAATCTAATATATGTACATATATATACATATATACATTAATCTAATATATACACATAGATATGTGTACATAGATTTACTTATGTACATATATACTATATATACACATACATATACAATTGCTGGATATGTATGATATATTTATACATAATTATATACTTTACATATAAGATAATTATATCTTATATATTTCATATAATATATATATCCTGTTGCATTAGTCAAAATATGGATATGAAGCTTATCATTTTAAAAATCACTGCTTGTTTTTTAATATTCAGTATCACATTAGATAATTTTTATTACAGGCACATTTTAAGAAACATACTTTATTTTCTGAAAACTGATAAATGAAATTATTGAGTAGAAGTGCTGATAAATATATTTTCTATTTATATATATATTTTAAACAGTAGTTTCAAACGTCTATCAACAGTTCCAAAATAGCATTTCCAAGACAGATGCATACTCAGTAATCCATGAAGATAAGAAATGAATGATACAGGAATTTAATATGGAAATATCTGGTAAACACAATGGTAATCGTTGTGAAAAATGATTATAAATTTACAATTATATTTACTAACTTGTTGAATTTTTTTATTAAACAAGACTGGAATTTTCTCAATTTCAAAAATAAGGCTTACAAGCTGGAATCAAAAATAGCTGATTTCTGATACATAGTATAAACACTGAGAATCAAAGAGATTTCAGTTAACAAAGAAAACACCCAACTCAAGGTAAGAGTATGAAGGTGAACAAGATATCCATGAAAGAAAGGAAATGTAGTTTTCAGATGGCTTATACAATTAGGTCAATTCATTTTTTAATTGCTTTTTCTTTTGAAAGTTCTTTTGAGAGGGTTTAACATAATAGTTATTTTAAGAACAAAACATCTTTCTTCCCCTATTCTCATATTTGATCATTAAAATTTTTAGTACCAAGGGAAATGTACTGCATTACCCTTTGAATCAGCTAAATTATATGAATAAATTAGGTATCTGTAACAAAGAGCTCACCTATTTCTTGATGTAACAGTCATTAACTAATTAAAAAGAATGATTTGGAATATACATTATACTCTGCTTACTTTGTCTTCTTTTTCAGTGAACTGCATGGGATTATTATTAGAATAAATATGTCAAAATGGCATAAATTGTTTTAGAATTTACCATAACAGGTTTAGTTGTTGTGGTGAAGGAGAGCATTGATCTTCCACTAAAATTATTCAGAATAAACATAGGTGATAACCAAAAGGGCAAAAATACAGGTATTTTTGTATCTTCTTAGAGAACTGATCACCTGTAACATTTAATGTTAAATATAAAATGTCTATCAAGAAAATCTATATTGTGATAAAACCATTAATATAAAGAAATAAATATAAAATTAAAAATAACTAAATGCATATGCAATATATTTTTAAGGGTACTAGAAAAATCTATATTATATGTTTCATAACATTTCTACTTTAATAGTTCATCACCTCTAGAATTTAATCTCCATGCCAGCAGGAGGTAAGTGCTTTGTCCTCTGTTCTATATCAAGTACATAGATTAGAACCCCTCATAAGTCAATAATCAATAAACAGTAATTGAGATATAAATGGAAAACGACATTCTAATAGGTTCAAAATTAAACAATACTTAATAGAATATTTAATATGAACAAGTCACTGTTAAGAAATTTTTCTTTTAACATTTATTGAAACTTAAACATTATTTAGGAGCATACATCATATTTTAAAATATATTATTTTTAAATTTTAGCCATATATTGCAGTGGACAGAGAATGCATTTGGAATCAAAACCAGGATATATTCCTGACCTTAGGCTTGATTCATTATGTGACATATCTCTTTACTGGTTCCTGTTACTTCTCTAATTGCACAATATAGAAGATAGCTTTGATATTTTTATCATGAAGTTGGCTTCTCTACCTAGATGAGACTTTTCAGTGATAGAGTTTGTATTGTCTCAGTGGAAATGAATCTTCGGAGTTAGTGAGTTTTTTTTTTTTTTTTTTTTTACTGGAATTCTCCAAACCAAAACCGGGAAATAGATAATTATGACTTGCAGGTGCTATAGAGAGGATCCTACATCAAATATCAAATAGTATAGTACATTGGCTTTCAAACTGTACTCTGTAAATTTCTAGGTATTCATTTCCAATTGCCAATAATCCTGTTTGGTAATAAAGGGAGAGACAAGGAGATGGTGCTCTAGAGACTCCAATCATGCTTAAGCAGGACAGATGGACTTTACCTAGTTTATATATTGGGTGTGCATAAGGGATTTCTCCTAAGGAAAGTAGCATGTAGGTATTTAAGCTCAATAGCCACAGCATTAAAGACTCTTTGAGGTCCATTATAACTTTGAGGTTCCATAATTCCATAAATACACAAAATAAAGATATCATTTGGCTCCATACATATTCTGTTAACTCTTTTCGCTTTGAGTGTATACTGTCCTTTCTGTAGGAGGATTATATTACTCCCATTCTGTGAACCACGTGATTTGTTTTGGCCAATGGAGTGTGAGTAAAAGTGAATTGTGTTTCTTAATGCAAATGGTTTAAGATATAACAAATATTTTTATGTGTTTTCTTTTTTCTGTTTCTACCATACTGATGCACCTGTTAAGATGAGTTTTCATCAGCCTGTAAACCTCAATGACTATGATGAGCCCAGCCCCTACTAACCTACTGTGGACATGTAGGAAGAGTAAAACATGAACTTTATTACTGTGAGATCTAGGAAATTCTTACTTGTTGTTGATGTATAGTACACCCTGAGAAAAGAAGAAAGTACCAAAATGCTTGAAAATGTTGAGTCAAACCATTCATTTAGTGGAAGCCAGAGTCTTTTACTGCCTCCATGGTTTGAGTGGAAGTAAAGTGCAAAGCACAAGCACACTCAAAGTTTGATGACAAATGATCAAATTCCCACCACCCACTTAATTTTTAGCTTTTTGAAATAGGACTTCTGCCCTCACACCTATGTGAAAAATTTGCTTTCTTAAAGATAACCAACAATAATCTACCTACCAAATACGTGAGCTTTTCTCAGTCCATTTCTTTTATCATTTCATTGTTTTTTACACACTAATCCTTCTCTTTAAAACAATCCCTTCCATAACTTGCAGTCTTCCTCATGATCTCTGCTCTCAGCTTTTCTTCCGAGTTCCTTTAGCTTTCTCTCTAAACATAGAAGTTTTCCACTGATGGTTTATGCTTGAATCATATTCTTTATCTTAAATTTTTTTTCTCATTACTGCAAGGCTTTTTATTTATTTTTCTTTCTTTCTTTTCTGTTCTCTTTATTTATTTATTTTAGAGGCAGAGTCTTGCTCTGTCACCCAGACTGGAGTGCAGTGGCAAGGCCATAGTTCATGTCAACCTTAGCTCATGCCTCAGCCTCCCAAGTGGCTAGGACTACAGGTAAATCTCACCATGCCTTTCTACTTTTTAAAAATTTTTGTAGAGACAAGGTCTCACTGTGTTGCCCAGACTGGTCTCAAACTTCTGGTCTCAAGTAATCCTCCCACCTCAGCTTCTTAAAATGCTGGGATTATAGGCATGAGCCAAACTGCCCAACTGCTACAAGACTTTAGTTACAGTAGTTGACCAAATTACACTTGTATCTCCTCTTATGTTTTTATATTCTAAGTTTATACATGAAGGTCCTTCTGGTAATTCCATATTAAGATTGTATTTCTCTTATGAACTTTATTAATTTGAGAATTTCAATTTCTAGCAAAAAACATTTCTTATAAATCACCTGTTAAATTTATTAGCGTGTGTCTTCTTTTTTTTTCTATTTTTTTTTTTACTTTAAGTTTTAGGGTACCTACAACTAAGTACATGCTCCCACATAACTGTAATTCAAAAGTCACAATCAGAAAATCAATATTGATTCATTATGGCCACTTAATCTTTAAATCCCATTCAAGTTTTTTCAGTGATCTTTATATTGTTCTTCATAGCAAATTGATCAGGTTCAGAATCACCCAAGTCATCACTCTTTAATCTCCTTCGATCGTGTAACATTCTCAGTGTTTCCTTGACTTTCATGATCTTAAAACCTTTGAAGATTACCAGAAAACCATTCTGTAGAATGTTCCTCAATCTGAGTTAGCTTATGCTTCCTTATTATTAGATACAGGTCATGTATCTTTGCCAGGAATATCACAGAGGCTATACTGAGTTCTCTGTGTATCTTATTAGGTGACATATGATTTTGACTTTTCTCAGTACTAATGATGATCACTTTGATAAGTTGAGTAAGATTGTGTCTGCCAGGTTACTCCATTGTAGAGGTACTCTTTATTCTTTGAAATTAACAAATATTTTATAGGCACATTGATAGTATATAAATACCCAAGTTCCTTATCAAACGTTCCATTTGTTTATTTTATTTACAACAGAATAGACTCATGACTTCCCATTTTATACAGTGAGTTAAAATCAACTACTATTATTATTTATTTGGTCAGTAAGAAAGCCCCCTCTTTAACCTTCTCTCACCCTCTTCACTTTCCAACACTCAGCTCTGATAATCAGATCTCATCCTCCATGGCTGCCTAGCTGAGACCCGCTAGTACACATGCCTTCCTTGTAGTGTGCTTCATGATAGTTTTATGACTGAGTTGCTTTGGAAAGTAAAAGGAAGGATGGGAAAGGGAAGAAAAACAGAAACAATGTTTTAACTTTTTATTAATAAATATGCTGTTTTGTTGCAGTATTTAGACAGTTAAATATTGTTTTAAGAGTACAAATGTTCTTTTACAAAATAGTGAATGTGATATGGTGGTTATGGGGTATCTGTGTTTATATGTGAGTATATTTTCCCCAAAGAGAAGTAGTGTGTCATAGTCACAAACCATCTGCTAATAAGATTTGTATAAAACTAAAATTTGAAGTTAGAAAAATACTATTATGTGTCTAAATGTGAAATATTAACCATATAACTGTTGCTTCTATATTAGGACCATTTTCAGAGGCATAGTATAGAAACATCAGAATTATCTTTAAATTTTCTCACTCTCTTATCTCCTACAAAATTCTGTTTCATGTTTGCAGTATTTTTTAAATATCTTTTTTTTTTTAATTTTCATTGACTTTCAATGTTCTCTTTCTGAACCTTGGTTATTTTCCCTGTTTTGCCAGAATGCTGCAAAACTGGTCTTCCTACTATAATTTTATGTCTCCATCTTACATGTATTACCAGATTAATTGTCCTCTCCTTTAATACACAGGACAATAAAGGCATTTAATAATATCCAGGATCTGTTTTCTAACTTAACTTCTTAATGTTTTCTTTAATTTCTTCCATAATTGTCACTTCAGCTAATGTAGAAGATTATTATGCCTTTTGCAAACCCTTGGATTTCTGGTCTGGGCCTTCATCTTCCATTTTCATCAATAGAATTCTCTTCTTTACTACTCTGTTTGCTCAGATAGTCACCAACACTTAAAGCCTAGCTCAAATGCTGACTACTCTATGAAATGTTACTTGTGTATTCTGGATAGAAGCACATCCACCCAATTCTTAACCAAATGACATATATTCTTTTTCACCATGGGTTTCATTTTTAGGACATGCCAGATGCTATTTTAAGTACTTTATAAATATTCACTAATTTAGTTCTCAAAACAACTCTATGAGATAGTTACCATTGTTAACCTAATTTAAAAGATTAGAAAACAAAACTCCAGATTGTTTAAGCAATTCTTTTGCACAGTTTGACTCCTGAATCCATGTAATAAGTTTTACGTTGTGTGGCTGATGTTATTTATAGATATATATTTACCATTTTAACAAAAATCTAAAGAGAGAATCAGTCATTTCTCTCCTCAAGTCCTACTCAAATGCATTGCATTTATAAGGGATTCGAAAAATATTCTAATATACACTTAATAAACAAAAGTGTTAACATTTATTGAGCCCATATTGTGGAGAAGTAACATTACTGTACAATTTGCATTAATCAGTTTATTCTTCTGGTACCTACATAATAGGTACTATTACAACATTTTAAAGGTTAGGAAGTTGATCAGAATAAGTTGCAAGCCACTTATTTTCTCATTACCTGCACCAGAAAGTACAGATTGGGAACATTTGAGTATGTGATCTATAAATTCTTTGACAGCTTGAAGAGGTCATCTCTTTTCAGGCTGGCAACAGCCATGTCATCAAAGAATGTTATCCCTTCTTATAAACAGGGAAACTCAAGTTTAGAGTTTGGCTATTTAGCCCAAATCACACATTTATAATAAGCACTTCCTGGATTTCAACCCATTATTTTCTGATTCTCAAATCCAAGAGATTCACTTTTCTCCCTTCGACTGCCACACTTGCTCCACAAAAGGATGAACATATAAAGGGAGGAATTGTGCTCTTACATGTCCTTCTCAAAGCAACCTTTGGGAAACTAAGACCAGAGTATCAGTTTGAGTATGAGCAATACATTAGCAATCAAGAAAAACATTTCACCACATTCATGTATACACAGTGCAGTTTCTACAGACAGCAAAATGTGAAACTGTCTTGCCTCTAGGTACCAGACATCAGGTCAATAACAAAGTGGCAGACTTCCATAAGAAGTGCAAACAAATATTTTCTATGCCACTGAATATATTAGTGGTTTTAAAGGAGTGACATAAATTATATTCAAAATGATAAAGTAGCTATGAAGATGTGATTGATTGTATCATCTAATTTCTCAGAATGTTATCTTACAAGTCAATTTAATTGGCGAACAGGGAATACTTCTGCACCTCCTCAAAATAGTCTTTGGAAAAAGAATAGGCTTACCTTGCCAAATCAATTCAATTGTTAAAGAAAAATGAGTTTGGAAACTAAACAAACAATGCAGCAAAAACAATGGATTGTTATAAATTTCTAAACTTTATAAACTTTATAGCTATCATAATCAAAAAAACAAAATTAAGGTTGTGGCTTAGAAATTTTAAGAACACAATATCAGCAGTGTACAAGTGTTAACTGAAATTTAACCCTTCATCAATAGTAGCTATTTTTTAGCATATGTTCTACAAAAGGCCAGAAGTTTATGACATTCTCCCACTGTTTTTAAAAACAACAACACTTCTCACTATGGAGGTGAATCTGAGTGAGGGCATGAGAATGGCCAGAATTACTACTTTGTTGTTGTACAGACATACCTTGTTTTATTGCATTTCACTTTGCTGTGCTTTAAAAACATTGAACTCTTTACAAATTGAAGATCTGTGGCAACTCTAGGTTGAGCAAGTCCATTGGCAGTAATTTTCCAACAGCATGTGTTTCCTTCATATGTCTGTGTCATATTTTAGTAATTCTTGCAATACTTAAGCTTTTTTATTGTTATTATATCTGTTATGGTGAACTGTGATCAGTTATCTTTGATGTTCCTAGTAATTGCTTTAGGGTACCATGAAATTTGGCCATAAAAGATGGAAAACTTAATGATAAAACTATGTGTTTTGACTGCTCCACCTACTACTGGCTTTTCCTCCATCTCTCTCCCTCTCCTTTGGTCTCCCTATTTCCTGAACACAGGAATATTAAAATTATGCCAATTAATAACCCTATAATGTTCTCTAAGTGTTCAAGTTAAAAGAGGATTAGTAGCACCTCTTCTACTTTAAGTTCAAGGCAGACATGATTATCTTAGCGAAGAAGGTATGGTTGAAAGTCAAGATAGGCTGAAAGATAGGCCTACTGTGCCACACAGTTAACCATCTTGTGAAGGCAAAGGAAAAGCTCGTAAAGGAAATTAAAAGTGCTACTTTGGTGAACACAGAAATGATAAGAAAGCAAAACATAAATTCTTTGTCTGAGCCAAAGTCCAGAAGAGTTTTTCCTATGTTTTCCTCTAGAATTTTTATAGTTTCAAGTCTTACATTTAGTCTTTAATCCATCTTAATTTTTATATATGGTGAGAAAAGGAGTCTAGCTTAGCTGCTTCCTTTTATCAATTTCTTTCAGTGTCATTTATCAAATGCTTTTGTATCATTTATCAAATGATACAAAAAAATCAAATGATACAAAATTTATCAAATGATACTGAAAAAAATATCAATTTTTTTCAGTATCATTTATCAAATGCAGTTTCATTACCCCATTGTATATTTTTATCAACTTTGTCAAAAATCAGTTGGTTTTAGTGAGAGGCTTTATTTCTGGGTTTTCAATTCTGTTCTATTGATCTATGTATCTCTTTTTGTACTAGTATCATGTGGTTTTTGTTTATACAGGCTTGAAGTATAATTTGAAGTCAGGTAATATGATGCCTCCAGCTTTATTCTTTTTGCTGAGGATTGATTTGGCTATTCAGGCTCTTTTTGATTCCATATGAATTTTAGATCAGAGTATGAGCAATGTGTTAGCAGTAGAGAAAAACATTCCACCACATTCATGTATACACAGTACAGTTTCTACAGAGAGCAAAATGTGAAACTGCCTTGCCTGTAGTTACTGGACTTCAGGTCAATAACATTAGGATTAGGATTGTGGTTTCCGAATTCTGTGAAAAATAGCATTGATAATTTGATAGAAATTGCATTGAATCTGTAGATTGCTTTGGGCAGTATGGTAATTTTAACAATATTGATACTTCCGATTAAGGAGCATAGGATATTTTTCCATTTGTTTGTGTCATCTACAATTTTTTTTCTGTGTTTTGTAGTTCTCCTTGGGGAGAATTTTTACCTCCTTGGTTAAATATATTCTTAGTTATTTTACTTTTATGGCTTTTTAAATGGGACTGGCATCCTTCTTGATTTGGTTTTCTGCTTGATTGTTATTGATATATAAACATGCTACTATTTTTTTGTACATTAATTTTGTGTCTGAAACTTCACTGAGGTAACTTATTAAGTTGAGGAGTCTTTTGGAGGAGTCTTTGTGTCAAAAAAACACCTGCACTGGTATATTTATCACAGCACTATTCACAATAGCAAAGTCATTGAATCAACCTCAGTGTCCATCAATGGAGTGTTGGATAGAGAATACGTGGTATATATATATATACTATGGAATAGTACTCATCCATAAAAAAAAATGTCTTTTTCAGCAACATGGGTGGAGTTGAAGGCCATTATCCTAAGTGAAATAACACAGAAAGAGAAAATCAAATATTGCATGTTCTTACTTGTAAGTGGGAGCTAAACATTAGGTACACAAGGTCATACAGAGGTAAATAATAGACACTGGGGACTCGAAGGTTGAGGGGTAAGGGTTGAAAAATTACCTGTTGAGGACAATGTGTACTATGTGGGGAATGGGTACACTAGAAGCCCAAACCTCATCATTTTGCAATATATCCATGTAACAATTTGCACTTGTATTCCTTGAGTCTATAAAAATAAAATAACTCTTAAAAAAAAATAAAGAAAGCAAAACAGCCTTATTGGCGATATGGAGAAGTTTGAGAGGTCTGGATAGAAACCAGCCACAACATTCTATTAAGCCAAAGCCTAATCTGAGCAAGGCCCTACATCTCTTCAATTCTATTAAAGTTGAGAAAGACGAGGAAGATGCAGAAGAAAAGTCTGAAATTAGCAAAGGTAGGTTGGTTCATGAAGTTTAGGGAAAAGAAGCTTTCTCTGTAAAAATAAAAAAAAAATGCAAGGTGCAAGCAGCAAGTTCAGGTAAAGAAGCAAAAAGTCCTTCAAAAGATAAAGCAAAAATCATTAATGAAGATGGCTACGCTAAACAACAGATTTTCGACGTAGACAAAACAGCCTTCTCTTGGAAAAAAGATGCCATTTAGGACTTTCATAGCTAGAGAAGAAAGGTCAATGCTTTGCTTCAGCAGACAGGTTGACTCTCTTTTTATAGACTAAAGCAGAGGGTGACTTTTAAGTTGAAGCCAGTGCTCATTTGCCATTCTCAAAATCCTAAGGTCCTTAAGAATTCTGCTAAATCTTCTCTGTCTGTGCTCTGTAAATGAAACAACAAAGCCTAGATGACAGCATGTCTGTTTACAGCATTCCTTACAGAATATTTAAAGCCCACTGTTGAGATTACTGCACAGAAAAGAATTTCTTTCAAAACGTTACTGTTCATTGACAATGCACCTGGTCACCCAAGAGCTCTGATAGAGATGTACAAGGAGATTAATGATGTTTTCATGCCTGCTAATTCAACATCCATTCTACAGCCCATGAATCCGAGAATAATTTCAATTTTCAAGTCTTATTATTTAAGAAATACATTCCATAAGGCTGTATTTACCATGGGTAGTGATTCCTCTGATGGATCTGGGCAAAACTGAAAATTTCTGAAAAGGATTCATCCTTCTAGATGCCACTAAGAACATTTGTGGTTCTTAGGAAGAGATTAAATTATTAAAGTTAACAGGAGTTTATAATTAGTTGATTTTAATCCTCATGGGTGATTTTGAGGAGTTGAAGATTTCAGTGGTGGAAATAACTGTAAATGTGCGAAAATAGCAAGAGAACTAGAATTATATGTGGAATCTGTAGATGTGAAAAAATTGCAGCAATCATACGATAAAGCTTTATGAGGAGCTGCTTCTTATGGATGAGCAAAGAAAGTTTATGGAAATGGAATCTATGTCAAGTGACGATACTGTGAACATTGTCAAAATGATGAGAATATATTTAAAATATATAAACTTAGTTGATAAAACAGAGGCAGGATTTGATAGACTTCGTTTTGAAAGAAGTTCTATTTTGGGTAAATTACTATCAAACAGCATTACATACTACAGAGAAAAGTTTTGTGAATGGAACAGTTAACGGATGCAGCAAACTTCATTGTCTTATTATTTTATTTTATTTTATTTTATTTTATTTTATTTTATTTTATTTTATTTTTTTTGAGACGGAGTCTTGCTCTGTCTCCCAGGCTGGAGTGCAGTGGTGCGATCTCGGCTCACTGCAAGCTCCCCCTCCTGGGTTCACGCCATTCTCCTGCCTCAGCCTCCCGAGTAGCTGGGACTACAGGCGCCCACCACCACGCCCGGCTAATTTTTTATATTTTTAGTAGAGATGAGGTTTCACCGTGTTAGCCAGGATGGTCTCGATCTCCTGACCTCGTGATCCACCCACGTCAGCTTCCCAAAGTGCTGGGATTACAGGCGTGAGCCACCTTACCCGGCCGATTGTCTTATTTTAAGAAAATGTCTCAGCCACCACAGGCTTCAGAAACCACCACCCCGATTAGTCAGCAGCCATGAACATCGGGGCAAAACCCTCCACCAGCAAAAAAGATTGTGACTCGCTAATGGGTCAGATGAGAGTTAAGATTTTTTAGTAATAATTTTTTTGAATTAAGGTACATATATATATATAGTTTTAAAAATAATCCTATTGTGCACTTAATAGACTACAGTGCAATGTAAACAGAACTTTTATATGCAGTGAGAAACCAAAAACAATTCATGTGACTGGCTTTATTGCTATATTCACATTATTTCAGCAGTCAGAAATTGAACCCATAATATTTCTGGGGTATGTCTATATATTTCCACTGGAAATATACTGGCATTAAAATTTTACCTACCTAGCTATCTTTAAAAAATAAAGTCTCAGTTACTGTGTATTTGGGAAAGGAAGCCTTCCTTTATCCAGAAAAATCTAACCCTGGTGCTTCTACACTATGCTTAAATAAACCCTTTTACATGATGAGGACATTTCATTATTTTTTGCTACCAAAACATACTACATTGATAATCTTCATGTGCTTATGAGCAAAAATGTACATAATTTTCCCCCAAGAGAAACAGCAAGATTATAGGATCTGACCATTTAACAATTTTAAAAATAGTTAAAACTCCTTCCAAAAATAGGTCCCCAGTTTATACTCTAACTCAGTGTATAATAGCATCAATTTTCAGCCTTTTAGCAATATTTAATAAGGTATAAATAGTTTTTAGTTTTGAAAATCTATTGAGTGGACAATTATCTATTGTTTTAAATTTTGTTCTCTATATTATGAATAAAATTAAATATTTAAAAATACTTGTAATCAAATTATACTTCTTTCATTAAGAAGTGTTTGTATATCATATTCACCCTTTTGGCTTACTTGTATTTTTAATTATTTTGTTACCATTTTTATATATATTAAAAATATTTTCAGTGACTTTTAATTTTATGTAAAAATTGTATTCTCTGCAAAAAGTGATGTTTTTGTCTTTTTTGCTCTAGTATTTATGCTACTTACTTATTATAGTTTTATCACATGATTATGCTGAATAAATTGATGAGTATGTCTGTTTGATACAATAATATCAAAATTGCACTCCTTATAGAATATTTAGTTAGCATATTTTTTAGTAAAAAGAAGTCTTTATACCATAATAAGGAGTGGTTTTTTTAAAAAAAATTGTACAGCTCTTCAAGAGTGTTATGGAAGCATATCTTTTACTAGACCATTATTGTATGAATTAAGCCTATAATTGAATGGTTTTCAGTTTGTGGAATGTACCACTCTCTTGAATTTTTGCAATATATATCTGTAATTTTTTAATCCATTTTTCCAAATAGAATTTTAGTATATTAGTCTTCAATATTTTCAAATAATCTTCAGAAATCCCGTAGCTTTCTGAGTCCAAGTATTAGCTTGAGTGTTTCATTAAAACATTTACATTAAACTTTGAACTAATGCCACTTTACGATACATTGATTATTTTCACATAAATCAGTTGTCTCATTAGGAATTACAAAATGGTTAATTTCTAATTTTTGTCTGCATTTACTCAGTGGCTTTCTTCTATGTACAGGAATTTATTATCATTAACAATTTGGTTATCTCAAATACAGTTAAGGTAAGAAAGTCAAGATAAACAATTTTTTTCTTTAATTTAAAATGTTTCAGGGTAACTAGTTGGTGACCCAAGCAAGCTCTACTATGAGTTGTTTTCAAATCTTCTCTACATACTCTTGGATTTTTATATATTTGAACTATTTTAATCAATGGGAATCATTGTTCTTATTTTTTGTTTAAAATATTATATCTTAGAAAGGAGAGCTCCTTCCAGTTGTTTTCTGCAAACTGTTGACAAATTCTTTGTGGCTGTATAGTTTTCCTTTCTAGGGGTGCACACACACACACACACACACACACACACACACCCCACCCACACAGATGACCCAAGATCAACTTGTATATTCCCTGTACCAGACTTAGATTTAACTATTTCTACAGAAAGCTTTCATTTCTTTCTTGGGAATGAAATTTAGAAACGAAAGTTTGGGTGATGGATGATGGGGAAGGCTTATTTACAAGTTCACGCTGGTATTTTCAATTTAAATGTAAGCTTGAAACTTTTTAAAAATGTTTTTATTACTACCAGGTGAATTATTTTAGTTGACACTTTGTTCAAATTCTTTAAAAAATAATAGGACAATAGCCATAGAGAACAATGAATATCAGGTATATAATCCACTGACTGCTAAAGCCCCAGATTTGAGTTTTATTTTTTTAACTCTGAGATATCTAACTATATAAAAGTACTATATGACTATGTTAACTTTAGATATTTATTAGATCTACTATGTTAACTCTAGATATTCCTTAGATCAACCCCAGCTTTGCTCCTATTCTTAAGAGAATATCAGAAAGCAAATGTTCAAAATAACCTCAGACAGTACATTTTTACAATATCAGATTTTTAAAATTCTTCAGTATTATGCCCCAAATTATTATCATTTTTAAAGTATATATTTAATGCATTCTTCAAATTTCTTAAGCTACTGAATCCTTTATTGAGACAGAATTTTACAAAGCTCAGTGTGCAAACAAATGAAGCAGAACTACTCTTGTTGTGTCGGGGAGGTGGTTTAAGTAAAACTGTGTTTTAGTAAAAGCACCTGGAGCTTATACCACTAGAACTATGGTACCAATGTTACATTAAATCCAAAAAACAAAGTAAAAACTAAGACTTTGGTTTGAAATAATATTGACTGGTACCTATCTTACCAATTCTACTTTATAGTTCTGCAAGTCAGGGAAGAAATTATTTGATCTATCATGGGAATGGCTTCCTTTTGCATAAATTGAGAATCTCAGAAAAGGATTTTGTTGTAAAAATACAGTAAAATCATGGTTTTGAAAGTATGTTGATATGGTAAGTTACATATAAATATATATTATAATTGTTTATATACTAACTTTTATTTCCACCAACTACATATAATATTTTTAATCCTAATTTTCGATTCAGAATACTCCCTTTCAAAAAATCTTGTAGGATTGTCATATACTCTGTTATATAGAACAGTTGTGAATATTTGGGGCTCACATTTTTTAGGCAAAACCGCAAAGCATTACTGATAAAAGATGTTCACTGTGGTCACTCAATCATTCTGTGTGAGTTATTGTGTAGTCAGATGCAATACTGCATCTATTGATATTTCAGGGCCTAGGATATTTCATGCATTTATATTAATGTAAATTCATAATGCCCCTGCAGTGTTATGGAACAGACAGCATATGCATAAGCTATTAAGAAAAATCTGACCCAGTAAATAATTTTATCCTCAAAATTCGATATAGGATGGATTCTACATAAGATAATAGAACCATTATATTTTCTTTTAGGATCATTTCACTTACAAGTTGATCTCATGGTAGGGACCTTGAAGAAAGACATTTTAGAGAAGCACCAGTGTCAGGTGTGTTTTAATTACATTAATGATATAGAATATATGTCTAAATATTTACTAATAAATAGTACCGAGAGGCCATGTGTATGCCAGTTATTATTCAGAGTTTTAAGTCCAATGTCTTGCTTGCTGGCTACCACACGTTTGCTAAACTGACAAAAGCAAAAGTAAGGTTATCCTAATATGAATTGAGGAAGATTATTCTGGATATTATATTTTGGAAGGTAGGAAGGAGGAAGGATTACAAGCTGAAAGCTTAACAAACATAAAAGAGTCTAATATTACAGAGTATTTGGCAAGACCACATTTAAGTAAAAATAATTGAAATTACTTTATTTACTATTAATAGCAGTCATCTAACACTTGAAAGACACATTATCATTTGAGTTATTCTTCCTGGAACATTGTAAATTTAAAGAAAGAGGATCTAAAAATTCTGCCCTGACATTTGATGAAATAACAAATGAGTATAAATTAACCATGCTGAGGTTCTGGTATTATTTATCTCTGATAACACTTTCTGAGTTTTGTACCTTAACAAAATTCAATCTAATAGTAGGTTATAATTTGTTCCAAAGATTAAAGTTATGTTATTGGTATGTACCTATTTCCATTATTCCGGTTACAAATGTTTTAAATGATAGTTAACAGGGCAAAATTAGTGTAGAAATCCATGTAATTAGATAAATAATCTTTTAATCTGGAATCAAAAGAGTTCATTTACTTTTAAAACAAATAAAATAAAACTTTATTTTCATACTTAATTTCAAATATTAGTTTTTGTTTAGCATCAATTAGATTTGTACAGGAGCTGTCCAACCCTGTACACACTTGAAATAAATTCATTTGAGAAATAAAATATAGTATTTTTTGGTAATAATATAACTGTAGAAAAATAAAAAGTGAAAAATATTATTAAACTCTGCCATTGACAGAGTTTGATGCTAGGCAAACCATACGAGAATTGTGAATGATCACATGTATAAGAAAAAGTACATGAACTGAAAGGAAGACTCCCTGAAAAATAGGAAACTTCCATCTTAGCAGAAAAATAGCTTGCACTTGAAAGGAGGAAAATAAACTAGATTGGTTGCTAAGGGCAACTCTAAATGCAACTTCTTCAAGCATGACATTGTATTATAAGATTCATGTCTATGCTTCTGCTATTTATCTATCTGCAAGTGATTGAGATGATACTATTTTAAGTCAGGTGTTCACACAACTGTCAGTCGTCATGAGTTGGTTAGCAGAGAGCATAAGCACATGGACTTAAACTTCATACCTTGTGTGGTGCCTGAGGCACAGAAGTGAAAGACAGTGAAGGCTGGGAACAAGAAGAAATGTGAGCCCCTTATCAAGCAGATTGCTGCCCTTGTCAAGTAAGGCTGACATTTGCTAGAATATAACAGGATGCCTATCTGTTATGGGCAAAAATGCAATTGCTATCCACTGGAAAATTACCTGAGATTAGTGTGAAATATTTGTTGTTTTGTAGCTCTTTGTCCAATTACCGGATATAGGTTTGCAAATAAGTTAGGGATATGAAAATAAATCAAGTTAAAGTTATAATTAAAAAACTCATAAAAATCCTCTGTAGTTTAATACAGATATTATAATGACTAACATATTGTGATGCTTGGCTGGATACTATTTCAATTGATATTTACAATTTATATTAGATAATATTTCATGGCATGTAAACATTTGCAACTCTGATTTTAAATCCAAGCCATTTAAAGTTGTTGATCTTGTGGAAGTTGTGATCTTCTTCTGCGCCAAAACAAAACTATCGATCCACTTTTTTTTCTAATGAAAACATGCTAATTTAACAAAAGAAAGTGCCATTAAAACTTCGGTATCTGGGATTTTGTGTTTGAACAAATGGTTGTGAGTTTATACCATGGAATGATAGACTGTGCATTTCATTCTATCACTAGAATATATTAATAACTTAATTTGAAAGCAAGAACTCCTTTCATTTTTGTATCCCTAGCATCATGCTAACGTTCCACAAATATAAGCATTCATCAATACCATTGGATGACATATTTTTAGTGCCTCAGCTGCAATAACTATACCAAGGCATGAAAATTCACAAAGTTACTTGACTCTTAATCCACTACAATCTAACAAAACAATTCCTAATGTTTAATATAAAAAGTCATCAGAACTTTAGAAAAGAAATTATTGAGAAAGTAAAGCTCAGACATAGTCTGTATGTAGTAACATAAATAAACTTAACATCATGCTATCACTTCGCTTTTCACCTGCAAACAAATAAGTCACCAAGAGATTGCTGAGCACAGGTGTTTTGTGCTCAACTCATCTGAGACCCTTACACAAAATTAACCGCTAAATTTACTTCTCCGTCAAGCCTCTGAGTGGATCTTTATGAAGCTCTTGATGAAGTGAACTTTTCTATAACCTGAAATGTAGTTATGTCTAAATACAGCCCCATTGTTTGTGCCAATGAGATACTAAAAGTCTGTGGTCTTACTTGTGATACCAAAATCGACGTGTCTGACCTCAGAAAGCTGATGCAAGCAGCATATCATATAATAACGTTTTGTGTTTATTAATAAAAGAACAGATTTTACCTATTTCCAGTGAAACATGATAAACTGATTTATTTAACAAGCTCAGCAGGCATTTCTAAGCATGGAATAGTCAAGCAAATGCTTATGTCAGAGCCGGGGCTTGGAAGGCAATTTTGAAAGGTGTGGCTTCTCAGGCTCCACATCCCGAGGTTCTTATTTAATGTGTCTGCTCAGGGCCCAGAAATCTGAGTGCTTGATAACATTAAATCCCTAGGTGTCTCTCATGCAGTAAACCTATACACTGAACTTTTCATTAAAAGTGAAGTTTACTGCAGCATTATATAAAAAAAAAATTAAAAATCAGACTTTTTATGATCACAGTGATGAGCTGCTTAACCAAAAACATAATGAATGTATAGAATAATTTTATTACCCCAAAACTTTTCCTCCTGCCCTTTTGCAGACAGGAGAAAAACTTTTCCCTCTTTCTTCTCCAAATGTCTGACAGTCATTCATTTGTCTTCTGTCAGTACAGTATTATCGTTACTAGAATGGCATGTAAAAGGAGTCTGATACATACCTACTAAATGTGCTTCTTTTACTTAGCACTATTCTGTAGAGATTCATTGCATGTTGTTACATGAATCATAATTTATTTACTTATTTTGGTTGCAGAATAGTATTTTATTTTCTGGTTTTATCATACTTTCCTTTTGTCATTTATTCACATTTTTATTTTACATTGCATTTTACTAATCAGTACATAAATTTCTCTCCCTCTTAAATTTTGTACTTCCTTCAAATTTCAGGATATTTACTTTACACCTATTTTCTCTTCTCTCTCTCAATTAAGCCACTCTATTGAGATATGATTGACATGTAAACAGCTGTAGATATTTGATTTATAAAACTTGATGTGTTTGTAGATAAGAATACACCCTTGAAACCAGTATCAAAATGCATGTCAAAAACTCTTTCCAAAATGTCAGATGAAGGGAATCATGTAGTACATAGCTTTTTCAGATTGATTTCTTTCACTTAGCAATATGCATTTAAGATCCATGCATGGATCGATAGCTCGTTCTTTTGCATTTCTTAACAGTATTCTACTGTATGGCTGCATCACATTTTGTTTATCCACTTAAGTGCATAATGATAATTTCCATTTTTGGTGACCATGAATGCAGCTGCTACAAATATTCACATGCTGGATTTTGTGGAGACATAAGTTTTCCAATTAATTGACTACCTAGGAATGCGGATTCAGGATTGACCAAAAAAAAAAGTCATGAGGATAAATAAAGGGATGCAGTATTATTATGTATTTAAAATACTATTATATCTGTGTACTTGTGACTTATTACTATGAACATTTGTCACTGAATTTAGCTCAGGACCTCCACTACACTAGTAATAAATGGTCAAGCTATGTCCTAAGGTTGTGGCATTATTTTGTATTCCCACCAGCAGTTAATGAGCGTGTCTTTTGTTCTGTACCTTTGCCAGAAATTGCCACTGTCAGATTTCGTTTTGTTTTGTTTTTTTTTTTAACCATTAATAAGTGTGTAGTGGCATCTCATTATAATTTTTACTTTTTCCCACAGTGACTAATGATTTTGATCATCTTTTCATATGCTTATTTCCATCTGTATATCTTCCTTTGTGAGAGATCATTTAGATCATCGTTAGATCGTTTAGATCTTTTATAACTTGTGTTGGCCAGGCACGGTGGTTCGTGCCTGTAATCCTAGCACTTTGGGATCACCACAAGGCGGGCGGATCACGAAATCAGAAGTTCCAGACCAGTCTGACCAACATGGTGAAACCCCATCTCTACTAAAAATACAAAAATTAGCCAGGCGTGGTGGAGCGTGTAATCCCAGCTACTCAAGAGGCTAAGGCAGGAGAATTGCTTGAACCCAGGAGGCGGAGGTTGCAGTGAGCCACTGGGCGACAGAGCGAGACTCCGTCTCAAAAACAAAGAAACAAACACACAAAAAAACAACTTGTGTTCACTTTTTAATTGTTGAGTTTTATGTGTTTCTTTGTAGAGTTTGGATGAAAGCCCTTTCATACATATGTGGTGTTTCAAATATTTTCTCCCAATCTATAGCTTGTCTGTTTTAACAATTTTCTTTTTCAGTGAAAATGTTTTAAATTTTAATAAAGTCCAATTAATCAACTAGTACTTGCATGGAGTATGGCTTTAGTGTTTTATCTAGTATTCACCACCAAACCTAAGGTCTTATATATTGTCACTTACGTTTCTATCTAGAATTTTTATAATTCTTAATTTTACATTCATATCAATGATAAATTTTGATTTAATTTTTGTAAAAGGTATAAGATCTGTTTCTACATAATTTTTAAAAAATTGATATCAAAATATTTCAGCATCATTTGTTGGAAAAACCACAAAACCATATTTTCTACATTGCATTGCCTTTGCATTTTTTGAAAGATAAATTGGCAATATATATGCTGATTAATTCCCTGATTTTTGTCCTTATGTTTATTACAGACTTCCCTTTATCTAATTTGCATCTAATTTGTTTTCTTTCTAATTTTCCAAAAAATAAGCTCAGATTATTGATTTAAGATGTGCCGTGTACACATCAATGATGTGTGTGTATCTATATATCCCTATATATATTCATATATATCCCTATATACATATACACCTACACAGAGAGAGAGAGAGAGCCACTAAAGGCTATAAAATTAAGTACAGCTTTGGTTGCATCCCCCAATTTTTGATACATTCTATTTTCATTTAATGGAGTAGGAAATGGATTTTGAAATTTCTTCTTTGATCCATGCATAATTTTAAAGGATTGTTTAATTTCAAAATAATTTTTATTTCCAGATATCTTTCTGTTATTCATTAACAAGCAAATTATTTGTTGCTTAAGCATGTGATCTGTATGACTTCTATTTCTTTAAATTTCTTGAAACTTTTATTTTTCTGAAATAAAATGTGGTCTTATGTGGTAACTATTCTGTATCAACTTGAAATAAATGTGTATTCTCACTGTGTGCAGTATTCTGCAAATACTAATTAGGCCAAGTTGATTTATTTCTTACTGATTTTACGTCTACTTGTTTTATCAAATACTGCAAAAGAATGTTGAATTTATCAACTATGATTGTTAATTATTTTAATCTTTTTACTATTATGAATTTCTACTTTTCTTGAAACTGTCATTAGGTAAGTAAAAATTAATAATTTTTAAAGATTAATATGTTATTTTTATACAGTTAACGTCTTAGTCTCCAGCAATATTTCTTTGCATAAAGTCTTTTATTCTGATTTTAATTTAGCCACTACAACTTCTTTTAAATAGTGTTTGCATAATACATTTTTCTTTTCATCCTTTTACATTTAACCTAGATAGTAGATCCCATAGATAGTGTGTTTGTAACAGATGACACTGAGTTTGGTCTTGACTTGTTATTTTGTCCATCAGTCTGCGTTTTAATTGCAGTATTTATTTTTATTTAATGTGATTATCAGTGTGGTTGTGCTTAAATCAACCACTCTGATATTTTTCTTGTTGTGAAATCTGTCCTTTTCACTTTTCTTCTCTTTCTGCTTATTTTTTTAATTAAGTCAGCAGTTTTAGGATTCTATTTTATTCTCACTATTGGTTTAATAGTTTTCAACTGCTTTAATTTAAAATATTGCTCTATGACTTACAGTATAACTGTAACTTACCTGGCTGTTTTCCACTAATTTTATGCTATCTAATATGAAGTATGAAAACATTACAACAAAATCCTGCTTTTATCACTCCCATTTTTGTGTTATTGCTGTTGTGCAAGCTAATTCTAAAAATGTTATTATCCACAAAAAACATTGTTTCCATATTTGTTTAGGGTATTGGTTTCTTTATTTGTGTAGAGTTTCTATATTTCTTTTAGAGTTAAATATCTTTTAAGATGGACTGGATGTGGTGGCTCACCCCAGTAATCCCAGCACCTTGGGAGACCGAGGTGGGCGGATCACCTGAGGTCAGGAGTTCGAGATCAGCCTGGGCAAAATGGCGAAACCTCGTCTCTAATAAAAAATTCAAAAATCAGCCGGACATGGTGGTGCACACATGTAATCCCAGCTACTCAGGAAGCTGGGTAGGAGAACTGCTTGAACCCAGGAGGCAGAGGTTGCAGTGAGCTGAGATCACACCACTGCACTCCAGCCTGGGAGACAGAGCAAGACTCCATCTCAAACAAACAAACAAGTATCTTTTAAGATGAATAGTCATACAATTATTCAGTATTTCCTTATACATTACTGGTTCTACATTCTTTGTTTTACCATGATTTCTCTGTCTGAAAAGCTTTTATTTTTTAACATTTAT
The DNA here is from genome assembly GCF_000001405.40 of Homo sapiens. Classification (NCBI taxonomy): domain Eukaryota; kingdom Metazoa; phylum Chordata; class Mammalia; order Primates; family Hominidae; genus Homo; species Homo sapiens. Next base: position 87,759,977 of record NC_000013.11, read on the forward strand.
TGCAATGCAATTCTCCTGGCAATGAATTTATTAGTATTTTTTTTGTTGAAAAACTATATATTTCATCTTCACTTTTAAAATATATTATTTTCTGGCTCTAGAATTCTATGTTGATAGATTTTTATTTTTAGTAATTTAAAGATCTCACTCCATTGTGTTCTGGCCTGTATAGTGTGGGATAAGAATCCTGCTATCATTTTTATTTCTCTTCCTTTTTGTGTAATGTTTTCCCCACTGAGTTACATCAGGATATTTTGTTTATTAATGACTTTCATTAATTTAATTAGAACACAGCTAAGCATGCATGTATGTGAGTATATATATATGAATTTGGAATTTGTTTCATTTTCTGATTGTGTACCTGTGTATATATTGTATATCTACCCCATTTTCAATGTGCTTTTTACAATTTTCATTTGTCTGTGATAATTCCCATCTGCTCATGAATTAATGTTATCTACCTTTCCAGTTTGGCTGTAACATATTAACTATAGTTACTTTAATCCCCTTCTCATAGTATTTAATACCGAAATATGTATTATCACTGTTTCTGGTTGTATTGACTGCTTTTTCTGTGGAAAACAGGTAGTATATGCACGTATGACCAGGTGCTGGACACTGGTTGATAAAATTACACCAAAAACTGAGGTAAACAATATTTATGCCAAGAAAATGTAGAGTTTCGTTCTGTTGATATGGTGAGCTGAGTCTTTCTATTCTGTAGTTGAGCTATGTTTCAGTTTATTATTGCTTGAGTTACCTTAAGTGCACCACAGACCTCAAATTTCTCCAGTGATAGACTACTGCTGCTTTAAAACAGAGTGAGATTTGAAGTACAAGACCACTTTTTCTCAGTGCTATGCTCTAATTTCAGCAAGACTGAATGCCTGCATCAAAGATGGTGGTCTTTCTAAGCAGACTTGCTTTTCTTCTGCCTATGTGTGAACTGCTGGAGCTTGTCACTTACAGGAGAGCATTGCCATGTGATCTTCAGGGGTGTTTTTCTCAGCATCCTTACACATCCACTGTGGAAGCTGAATTCTGTCTTGTATCACCAGAAACCTATGTTCAATTCTGTTTCCTGCCTCCTTTCTGGTGGCCACAGGTCACTGCCCCTGGCCTAGGAGCAAATGGTGTTGCATAGCATCATTGATGATAGAAAGCTGTGCATAGGTTTTCTTCCCTTCACTTAGTTGACCCTAGCTTTTGCCTGGGACTTCTGCTGTGGCTATTCCTTGCCCATCACCCAGATGCAGATAACTTTTATTTTTACCCCTAGCACACTGGCTAAATTTGCCAGGAACAGATGGTGGGTGGTGGTGATTGACAGTGAAAGAATTTCTGCTCTTACCTTGGTGGCAGATGTTTTTTTCTCTGTATGGCAGAAGACCTCAGTAGTTGGCACCTATGCTGAAGCAGAAACTAACCATCATTTATGCACTTGCCCCATTGAGAGTTCTCTCAGGTCCCCTAACATGAGCCCAAACTTTTTCATGAGCATCTGGTGGAAGCCCAGGGAAGAGCTGACAAGAGGTTGAAGGCACTCTTGGTCTTTGTGGCTACCTAGAATTCTAAACCACCACACAAGTCCCTGACCATCAGGCTTTTGTTATTTATTTACTTATTCTAATTTTCTTCTTACCCACCCTATGGCTACCACCTTTTCCTCCTATACTCTTCCAAAAGCAAAACCTATTTCTGTGTCCTTTCTTTCCTATGAGGAACTTGTCATCATCTGGAATATAACTTTATAGATTATCTGTGTTTCAAATAAAAGGAAAGTGGGGGAATAAAATTTGAGAATAAAATTGGAAATCACAGATATTTTCCTCTAATAAAAGAATAGCAATATGAATCATATATATATATATATATATATCCACATCTTAAATTGTGAGTAGTTCCAAAGTATATACAAAGAAGTTTTTAATCAGAAAGAACCTACTAGTAGCTTCCCCCTCTTTTTCCCCTGTCTTGATCATGGAATAAAATTTACCATCTCTTTATTCTCCATAGGGAATTCTAAATCATTAACACAAACACATTTGTTTTAAGAAGGAAGCAACACTGAAATGATTATGGAGATTTAAAGAAAACTTTCCTGAAGCTAAAAAGTGAAGAAGCCTATCATTTATGAATAAAGTACCCAGTAGGCCTCCATGCTGATCAAAGATGAAATATCTCATGCACTGAGTGAACAGAATGTTTAACTGTGGGAGGTCAGCATTATTGTGCACACATCCCCAGAGGTGATAAAAGTGTTTAGTAAATGAAAAAAAAATGTGTATCCATTTTTTTTTACTCTCAAAAGGTTGATAAAACAAAAACTTAGTTGAGCTATAAGTAATGAAATAAAACTGAACCTAGAAAAATGTAAGCTCCATATAAAGCGGCAAAAATAGCAGACAGATTTATTAAAGTATACTAAAGTAACCCTTTTAAGGAAGGGTTAAAGGCCTTCTGAATCATTTAAAAAGGTCCCAGGGACACACACACACACACACACACACACACACACACACACACACACAGCATAAACAGACATGTTAAGAGGAGTAGCACTCACTACTGAACAGGCTAAATGTTTACTTATCTTTAATATGTTTGAAAGCAGGGATAATAAATAAATTTCATAGCAAGTATATTTGGAAAATAACTTATTAGGATTAAAGAACTACTTTACAGTCCCACCAACAGTGTAAAAGTGTTCCTATTTCTCCACATCCTCTCCAGCACCTGTTGTTTCCTGACTTTTTAATGATTGCCATTCTAACTGGTGTGTAAACTAGTTCAACCATTGTGGAAGTCGGTGTGGCGATTCCTCAGGGATTTAGAACTAGAAATACCATTTGACCCAGCCATCCCATTACTGGGTATATACCCAAAGGACTATAAATCATGCTGCTATAAAGACACATGCACACGTATGTTTATTGCGGCACTATTCACAATAGCAAAGACTTGGAACCAACCCAAATGTCCAACAAGGATAGACTGGATTAAGAAAATGTGGCACATATACACCATGGAATACTATGCAGCCATAAAAAATGATGAGTTCATGTCCTTTGTGGGGACATGGATGAAATTGGAAATCATCATCCTCAGTAAACTATCGCAAGGACAAAAAACCAAACACCGCGTGTTCTCACTCATAGGTGGGAACTGAACAATGAGAACACATGGACACAGGAAGGGGAACATCACACTCTGGGGACTGTTGTGGGGTGGGGGGAGGGGGGAGGGATAGCATTAGGAGATATACCTAATGCTAAATGACGAGTTAGTGGGCGCAGCGCACCAGCATGGCACATGTATACATATGTAACTAACCTGCACATTGTGCACATGTACCCTAAAACTTAAAGTTCAACAATAATTAAATAAAAAAAGGATTAAAGAATTAAAACTATATAAATAATAAATTTCGAGTTTATTTATATGTTCTTCCAATTAAATATATAATATTAGAAAAGGAAAGTTCTATTTATACTAGTACACAAAAACTGTAAGTCATAAATATAGGAAGCCTTACTAAATTCAATCTAAAAAATTCTTAGTACTTAATATCAAGAACAAGCAGTCAGCAAAAAATAAATACTAATCAGATAATAATAATGTGATAAATATAGGATTCACTATAATTAATAGAAGCCAATATTTACTTGATAATTATTACATGCCAAACTTTCTGCTACCTCCTTTATAAATATTATTTCATTGAAATCACCTAATGACCAAATGAGATAAGTAATATTATTGCTCACGTTATGTAGATGTGGAAACTTAGATATATTGAGGTGCCCATGTTCACACAGATGTAAAGTATTTATGCAGTATAACAAGACCAAAACCTAGGCCTGCGTATCTTAAATCAGCACTTCTCAAAATTTAATTTGCATTTGGATCAACCAGGGATCTTGTTAAAATGCAGATTATCATTCAGTGTATCTGGGTTGGGGCTCAGGATTCTGTATTTCTAACAAGCTCCCAGGTGACGTTGATGTTACCTGTTCAATAGCTACACTGTGATTAGAAAGACTAGAGAACATTACCTTTTATTACTAAAATATACTACCTCATATATGGATATCAACTGAATTAATTATAAAAAAAGGCAATTTGTGGTGTTGATGTATGTACAATTATTATGAGTTTGTGGATGTTTGTTGGTAAGGTTGTAATAAGGAATTATATATAAGATAAGAGATTAAATTGGTGTAAGCACTTTTAAAACAATACAGCAAATACCTTGGCAATTTGAAATGCAAAAATCCTTTGTATCCAATCGCATGTCTACATGTATTTTAAAGAATTAGATTCTCACGTGTTCAAATATATATATTTTAAAAGTATTGATTTCAGTATTATTCGTAATAGCCAAAAAGTGGAATGCTTCAAAGTATTCAACAGTAAGAGAATAAATAAGAGTTAAGTTTATCCAATGAAACATTAGACAGAATTTAAAAAGATGACATATATCAAAATGACATGTGGAAAAAAAATCTCCGGACAGGGCCAGTGGCTTGTGTCTATAATCCCAGAATTTTGGGAGACCAAGGCAGGTGGATCAACTGAGATTAGGAGTTCAAGACCAGCCTGACCAACAAGGCAAAACCTTGTCTCTACTAAAAATCCAAAAATTTAGCCAGGCGTGGTGGCAGGCACCTGTAATCCCAGCTACTTGGGAGGCTGAGGCAGGAGAATCGTTTGAACCTGGTAGGCGCAGGTTGTAGTGAACCGATTTCACACTATTGCACTCTAGCCTGGGCAACAGAGCGAGACTCTGTCTCAACAACAACAACAAAACATAAAAAAAAAAAAATTCCATTTGTTTTGTAAGTCTAGTGAAGGTAGGAACAGTTTTGTTCATGTCTATAACATACACACAAATGAACCACGCCTTTTAAAAAGCAGGGGCTTAAAACAATAATTTTTGCTGTATTAATGTATATATAACTTATACGATATACTATTGAATAAAAAATATAATAGTATTCATGGGGTTTTAAGGGCAGGATTCTATCAAGAAGTTAGCATGTGAAGTTTTAGATCCCAGTGATTTTTTTATTGTGAAGAAAAATTACATTACCTAAAATGTACCATCTTCACCCTTTTTCAGTGTATAGCTCAGTAGTGTTAAGTATACGCACAATGTTTGAAACATATCTCTAGAACTTCTTCATCTTGTAGATACAAAACTATACCCATTAAACAACACCTCTAGTCTCTTTAAAAGAAAAGATTTCAAGCTGCTATGTTGACTCAAAGATAAATTTTTCTTCTAGACTTCCTCCATATATTTCATTCATACATTTAAGTTTGTGTAGCCAAAACTAGCCTCAAGACTTGCCCTTTGTCATTTTTGGGGGGTCTACTTTGTTTAATGTGGTTCCCCAAAATGTGGGTATAATCAAAGTGAATTAAATGTTATCATACTGGTTTATACCACGATCTAGTTCTGCATATCCAGTTTACAATATTAATCATTGTAAAATAATGAGGCAATCTGGGGATTAAGAAGGTAGATAAAATCAGAAGAAAATGTTGTGATTTGTATTCCAAATCTGTTCTCATAGCATGTGCTCACAATAATGACTATTTCTATTCTTCAATATTGTTGACATTTAGTTGTAAATAAAGTAGAACCTGCTCAAAATTTCAAAGAGGCTAAGTTATGGGTCCAGACTCTAGAGGTTTTTGATACAATTCACACAATGTGCAAATACAATGCTTTATTTCTCCTTTTTAGAATATGTAAATATGCCCATTTCTTGAGGTTGAATCAGAAACAACTTATTTTATCTTGTAGGCTTTGAATTATTCACTGGAATCCATAAATACCGAGATGTCCCCAAATCCCTGGGACACAGAACTCCAGCCAGAAGTCTCAGTTTTTCAGGACTAACACTGAGTCCTAAAATTTTATCTTCTCCTGGAATGAGTTTACCAATAATTTGAAGAAGTTATTCCAGGCTAACCACTAACACATGTTACAGCCAGTTCTCTTGTACAACTAGAATTGCTTTTTCATTCATCCTGTTTTCAATCTTGTCAGGTTCCTTCTTCAGGTAAAGAAACCTGACGGCATTAGAGCTGTACTTTTCGCAGAGAGGTACCTTACAGGGGGAATCATATCATAGGTAGAGCTTACAGACTGATGGTATAGTCTAGAGAGCTTGCGATGTCAGATGTACTCATGGCCAAAATGATCGACTCCACAGCAAATGCTGATTGATAATTATGTTCCTGTTGGTAGGGAGGACCCTGTGGATATAGGCTATCCATATTGCCCTCTGCAGCTATTGTCTACAGTTAACATGGAAGCCCTTTTCTCATTTTCTTAAGTATGCAACTGCTTTATATTATATCATCTGTTTGAACAATTATTTATAAAATTAGCAAATTATTTATAAATTTCTAAAGCCTATATGTCAGGTAAAAAAAAAAAGGATACATTTTAACTTTCTTCTCAGTTTTTAACAATGTAGATTACTTTAGAAGAATAATAGGACACATAAAAATTAGCTGGAATAACATGGTCACAAAATTTTACATGAAAGATTTCTAATTGAAACAATAGAAAACATAAATATCATTAAAACTGCGACAACACAGTGAGCCGAGATCGCTCCACTGCACTCCAGCCTGGCAACAGAGCGAGACTCCGTCAAAACAAAGAAACAAACAAACAACAACAAAAAAACTGCAACAACAACAAAAAACCCCACAAGAGTTCGCAAACTAAAAACAAATTAGGCTAACCAATCTAGAGATCATAATTTGACAGTACACTTGAAGGTAATAATTCACCAGGTGTAATCTAGCATCCAGTGGCATCATCAGGACAAGGGAGGCTTTTAGAAATGCAAATTCTCAGGCCCACTGCAGGCTGCCTAAATGTAACAGGGTAAGGCCCACCAACCTGTGTTTTAAAGACCCATCTAGGAGACACATGATACAGGTGGTGAATCACTGCTAAACATTATAGAGTAAAATAGGGTAAAACATTCACAACTGTTTCATCAGTGCCAAGTATTCTTAACTGAAGAGAAAAAGAAAATAAAAATAAACTGCACTAACTATGTATCAGACATTTCCTTTTTAGCCCAAATACATTTTTAAGTGTACCTGGGCTAATTTAGTCTTACCTAATTTAGTCTTTGTTCTCAAATTTCAGTAGCTCAATTTGTAGCTTTGATAAGAGTTCCATGAAGTTTACTATGTATTTGTATATGCACTTAAACTGAGTGTTCAATGATCATAGTTTATCAAGGTTAATTGTGACACTGGGAATTTCTATTTCAATGCTCATCACTTATGAGGCTGCAGGTGTGACTGGTTTCTGACTGCACTCCAATACAGAGTTCCCTCCACTCTGCAGCTGAGCCCAAGATGCTGACAATACAGGTGCGGAAGAGGGTCATTGTGCGAAACTAATTTCAGGTGTCTTTGTGAGACAGTGATTTTTTTTTTTTCCACAAAGTGGCTAATTATGAATACTATGACACACTTGATACCCTTTGTGCTTTTGCCTCGCTTCTATCCTTGTGACCATATAAGTACCAGTACTGCTGGTGGGAATTTGACATGGGGAATCTGGATGACTGGAAGGAAATGCAACATTTGAACTAAAATATCCATGAAATTGCTGTAAAGGCTAATTTGGGAGTGGGCAATTTCAGGCAAATGTTGAGAATGCATAAACAGTTTTTGTGCTAGTATTACTCTAATAGAACTTATGTAACAGAACTAGAATAGGATTTGAGAACCACACATGAAAAATAATTATTTTCCTGTGTCATACATAGGCAGTCAAATTATCCTTTAAGACTTAGATAGTGATGGTATTGATTTAAGTGAATACCTGTGATTTTGTGGGGTAAAAACGTAATTTTTTGTATGCATTTTTTTTGCACTCATAAAACGTATAATCCCAAGTTTCTTTTTTTTTTTATGGTATATACACTTTTCTGTTTCCTTTGGGCATCTCACTGGCATTTTCAGTGACAAAATGTTTGCTTTGCTCCATTTTTGGTCTCATAATTTAATTAAAAAGTAGATATTGTGAATATGTGAGATAGCCAGCTGGGGTTATAATTATAATTTTTTGAATGATGTAGCCCTATTCAGTGCTAATGGGCTTATGCAATA